>NW_025791812.1:177865-355731 GCF_000001405.40 Homo sapiens
ATCAGCAGCAGCAGGTGTCTGAGTGCTCCAGGGTACTGTGTCAGAGGAGACCAGGTTTAAGTGGTGTGGGCTTGCTAGGTGGCTTCAGGCAAAGTCACTTAACCTCCCTGAGTGTCAGTTTCCTCTTCTGTAAAATGGAGATGATGTGGTCCTTTCCCCTGCTTCACAGGGTCCTACCCAAACAGAAGGGCCTGTGATTGGATGGCAGCTCAGAGCTTCATTTCTTTCTCAAAAAGTCTGCATCTGGGAAAGTCATTAGAAGAGCTCTTTTAATGAAGAGATGAGGTTGATTGTACTTAGCAAATCAATGAAGCAACTCTGGGTTCCTTGGAAATGTTACTCCCACGAGTATTTTAATTTTTTTTTTCTTTTGAGATGGAGTTTAGCTCTTGTTGCCCAGGCTGGAGTGCAATGGCATGATCTCAGCTCACAGCAACCTCCACCTCCCGAGTTCAAGCGATTCTCCTGCCTCAGCCTCCCCAGTAGCTGGGATTGCAGGCGTGCACCACCATGCCAGACTAATTTTGTGTTTTTAGTAGAGATGGGATTTCACCATGTTGGCCAGGCTGGTCTCGAACTCCCAACCTCAGGTGATCCACCCACCTCAGCCTCCCAAAGTGCTGGGATTACAGGCGTGAGCCACCGCACCCGGCACTAATTTTTTTTTTTTTTAAGACAGTCTCGTTCTGTCACCCAGGCTGGAGTGCAGTGGCGCGATCTCTGCCCACTGTAACCTCCGCCTTCCAGGTTCAAGCAATTATCCTGCCTCAGCCTCCCAAGTAGCTGAGACTATGGGCACAAGCCACCATGCCCAGCTAATTTTTGTATTTTTAGTAGAGACAGGGTTTCACCATGTTGGCCAGGCTGGTCTTGAACTCCTGACCTCAAGTGATTTGCCTGCCTCGGCCTCCCAAAGCGCTGGGATTACAGGCGTGAGCCACTGCACCTGGCCCATGAGTATTTTAAACATTCACCTTGCTTGGAATCTTTGGGCCTGCCACAAGTCAATTAGGCACACTAACCAGGTTGTTTTTTGAGTTGGTAGACTTGGTGCAGGTGCCACGCCTGCTGCATAGGAGGCTGTCCCCAGCTGATCCTCGGGTAACCTTTCCCTGGTGAAGATATGACCATACTTCAAAAGCCCCCTTGGAGGCCATCTCTTCAAGAAGCATCCTCCCTCCCTGGCCTTGCCTGTGGTTGAGTGATTTTATAATTTTATATGCAGAAAATTGTCTCCTTTCCTGAGACCCTTGGGATGCCTGGGACCAAATCTTTGAGCCCTCTAAAGCTTTCTAATCAAAGTGTGGTCCATAGACCAGCAGTATTGACAGCACCTGGGGGCTTGTTAGGAATGCAGAATGTCAGGCTCCACTCTGGACCAATTGAATCAAAGGCTAAAATCTGTGAGGATTCTAAAGGCATTAGGCACCCTGGTGTCTAAATGCCCGGGATTCTGATCAGGTAGGAGGGCCATGGCCTCAGACAGCCGGGAGATGTCGCTGTTCCCCAGTCATTGGAGTTGTCAGGTTTTGCTACCAAATGCCAGAGGCCCCGCCTGTGGGGCTTTGTTCGCTGTGAAATCCCAGGACTACGAAAGGGTCAGGTCAAGTTTGTCATGCCACCTTTTCATCGGCCACTCAACCTGCGCCTCCTCCCATCTTTCCCTGACCGTTGCTGCCCTGGGTTCTCAGCTATGTTTCCAGATAGGGAAGACTGTGTGATCCCCAAGCCCAGCCCTGCCCCAAGCCCAGCCCTGCCCCAGGATCTCAGGAGAAAGCCCACAGGAGAAAGGGCATCTGGCCAGGCGCAATGGCTCATGCCTATAATACCAGCACTTTGGGAGGTTGAGGTGGGTGGATCACTTGAGGCCAGGAGTTCAAGACCGACCTCGGCGACATGGTGAAACCCCATCTCTACGAAAAATACAAAAATTAGCTGAGCTTGGTGGCATGCGCCTGTAATCCCAGCTACGTGGGAGGCTAAAGCAGAAGAATCACTTGAACTTGGGAGGCGGAGTTTGCAGTAAGCCGAGATCATGCCACTGCACTCCAGTTAGGACAACAGAGCAAGACTCTGTCTCAAAAAAAAAAAAAAAAGGAAGTGCATCCTACAGAGTCTCCCTCAGCCTGGCTCATCAGGCAAGAAGAGCTCAGACCAGCAAGGAGGGGGTGTCTACAGGGAGGACCGCCCTCGCTTGGAATCTCTGAGTTGGGGGATCTTAGTGACAACAGGACCTGCAGACACAGTGAGAAGAATTCCCATGATTTGAGTGTCCACAGGCAAAAGTCAAGGCCTGCTTGGGACTTCAGCTTCCAGTTTCTACTTCCCATGTCAGAGCCAGGTTATCTCACGGTCTTACTTCCCCTCTGTGGTTACAGTGCAGTTAAAGGAACCCTAATAGCCTCGACTGCAGCAAACTCAGGTTTGAGTCAGGGCCAAACGGCCCTCACTCCAGACTAGAAGCAGAGTCATTGGGGTTTCCCTCTAGGGTCTGGAGCTCCCACTCTCTGGGCCTTTCCCACCCTGCCTGGTTTAGTCCCTGAACACCCAGGCCACAGAGCAGAAGGAAGAGCAGCCTCCACACCCAGGCCCCCAGCTCCTGACTCCCCAGTGGCTGGGCCCTGTTGAAGCTGGAACCTCTTCTAAGGCCCAGAACCTGGAATCCATGGCTGAGTGAGACCTGGCTCCCTGCCTAGCTCCTGTCCCCCTGGGGTCAGCCCCAGTCACCACCACCCAATGACTCACGGAGTCTAGCTGTCCTGGATTTCCGCAGTCTAGCAGTAACATCTACATGCCAGTCACGTAACATACGTGATCTCATCTCATTCAACAACCTTGAGCCTTAGGAACACATAGTGCTCTCATTTCATGGTGGAAGAAGCTGAGTCTTGGAGATATTGGGTAACTCGTCCAATCTCATACAGACGGTACATGGAGAGGCCGGGGTTAGGAGTGGGGCTTGCCTGCCTCCAGACAAGCTCGCCTGCCCCGGAACAGTGCTATCCCTGACCCTGCCTCAGCAGCCCAGGGCTAATTTCTGCCAGCTTGATTTCCCATGGATTGGTATCAGCAGGGTCCATGTGGGTCCTGCGAGGTGGAGTGATAAAGGTGACAAGTGAGGACACTGCAATGGAAGATGGCACTGCACTTTACATTTGCACTTGTCATGGTGATAGTGACATTTCTGATTAACATCAGAACTTTGGTCTGCTGATTTCACCCGTGAACTTGGAGCCAGAAGTCCCAGGATCCATCTGATCTCTGACCCAATTGCCACGTCCTTCAGGTGAGAGATGGTCCCAGGCATGCACAAACATTCCAGGATATTAATTGATGATGAAAAGTCATCATTAATTTATTGGCATATTTTGTCTTTTATTCCTGCCTCCTTCCATCCTTTGATAATTTATCCATCAGATATCGATGTAATAATACCCATCAGGTGCTAAGTGCTGTGTTTGGTGTCCAGGAGCCAAGGAAGTGTAAAGCACAATTCAAATGAACTGATATTTATCAAGTGCCGCTATGTGCCATTCACCGAGTTGGGGGCTCCAGGCATTCTGTGGACTTGCTTTGGTGCAATTTTCATCCTAGCTAGACAAGTGGGCAAACAGATAATTACACAGTGTGATATACACAGTCTATAATCGAGGTGCATACAAGGAGCTGTGGGAGCAGAGTGGGTGTGGCCTTCACCCTGCTAAGGAGCAGGAAAGGCTTTGCCTAGGATGTAACTTTTTTTTGGGAGGGGGGCACAAGCTCTCACTCTGTCGCACAGACTGGAGTGCAGTGGCACGATCTTGGCTCACTGCAAGCTCCGCCTCCCGGGCTCAAGCGATTCTCCTGCCTCAGCCTCCGGAGTAGTGGATTACAGGTGCGCGTCACTACCGCCCGGCTAATTTTTGTATTTTTAGCAGAGATGGGGTTTCACCATGTTGGCCAGGCTGGTCTTGAATGCCTGACCTCAAATAATCCACCCCCCTCAGCCTCCCAAAGTGTTGGGATTACAGGTGTGAGCCACCTCGTCTGGCTCCTTTTTTTTGGAAACAAGGTCTCACTCTGTCACCCAGGCTGGAGTGCAGTGGCATGATCTGGGCTCACTGCAACCTCTGCCTCCTGGGCTTGGGTGATTCCCCCACCTCAGCCTCCTGAGTAGCTGGGGCTACAGGCACGTGCCACCATGCCAGGCTACTTTTGTATTTTTTGCAGAAACGGGGTTCCTCCATGTTGCCCAGGCTGGTCTAGAACCTGTGGGGTCAAGCAATCCACCTGCCTCAGCCACCCAAAGTGCCGGGATTATAGACGTGAGTCACTGTGCCCGGCCAGGATGTGACTTTTAAGCTGGATCTTGAAGAAAGAGGAAAAATTAATCCAGCCTGAGCAAAGGCTTGGAGGCCTGGTTAGTGAACAACAAATTATTTGGTGTGGCTGGAGTGAGGGTCCTCACATCTTTCTGGGCTTCGGACCTGGACCCCAGATTCAGTTGTCCAGGGTAGGGCCCAGGGTTCTGAATTTTTAACTAGGGCCTCAAGTGATTCTGGTACAGGTGCGAGGTCCCACAGACTGGGAAACTCGGGCCTGTGGCTTCAGCGGCAAGAAATGTGGATGAATCTGGAACAATGCATTAGGGCCAAGCTGTGCAGGGTGTTAAATGCCATGCTAAGGAATTTGGACCTGTCTTGTTCTCAATGGAGAGAGTCCATTGGAGGCTTTCAAGCCCTGGAGTGGTGGTTTTGGAAGGAAAATGTTGCCAGCAGCCTGGTGGGAGGAACAGAGACCCGAGAGGCTAGAGAGAAGAAGCCCAGTGAGGAAGCTTTCACAGCTGTCCAGGCCAGCCATCCTGGAGGCCTGAGCTGGGGGTTTGGGGGGGCGGTGGGCAAGGAGCATGGGAGTGGGGGCGCTGGATTTGAGAGGGCTCTGAAAAATGGGGCGCAGGCCTGCAGTAGATGGATGAGGAAGGTGAAGGAGAGGTTGTTGAGAATGGGCTGGGGGGCCTCAAGGGCTGATCAGGATGCACCAGGGCAGTGGGTTGAGGGGAGGAACAATAGAGCCAATTTGCATGAGTTGAGTTTTTCACTCATGTGACCTCCAGGAGGATGTGGGTAACAGGTATTGGATCTTGTCCGAAGCTTGGAGAAGGTGGTTGAAGTTGAGGGGAGAGCTTTTTTTTTTTTTTTTTTTTTTTTTTTTTTGAGAGGGAGTTTTGCTCTTGTTGCCCAGGCTGAAGTGCAATGGTGCAATCTTGGCTCACCGCAACCTCTGCCTCCTGGGATCAAGCGATTCTCCTGCCTCAGCCTCCCAAGTAGCTGGGATTACAGGCATGCGCCACCATACCTGGCTAATTTTGTATTTTTAGTAGAGACAGGGTTTCTCCATGTTGGTCAGACTGGTCTCAAACTCCCAACCTCAGGTGATCTGCCAGCCTCGGCCTCCCAGAATGCTGGGATTACAGGCATAAGCCACCACGTCTGGCTGAGACTTTGAAGAGCAAAGAGGTATTAGAAGACTGTAGACTGCTTACGAATCTTCAGGGCACGTGGAGGCAGAATTAGAAAAAGAGGCCAGGTGTGCTGGGCCACACCTGTAAGCCCAGCACTTTGGGTGGCCAAGGTGGGATTGCTTGAGGCCAGGAGTTTGAGACCAACCTGGGCAACAAAGCAAGACACCCACTCCCCATGTCAAAAGCAGAAGCGAAGAGAAGGGGAGGGGAGGGGAGAGGAGGGGAGGGGAGGGGAGGGAAAGGAGAAGGAAAGAGGCAAGAAGAACACACTAGAAAAGTAGCTGTTTGGTTGTTTTTTAATTTATTATCTCCACTTTGCAGATGGGGAAACTGGGACTCAGACAATTAAATAACTTGTCCATGGCCACTATGCTTAGCAGGGTAAGGCTGGAGTTTTGAACCTAAGTCTCTTTGGCTCCAGTGCCCATACTCTCTTGGCTGAGTCTCCCAAAGGCAAATCCTGTCCCCAGACACAAAATAAACAGATTCAAAGATTGGGGGTGAATGGGTGGAGGTGAGGAAGATGCAGCAAAAAGAACTTGCAGGAGGCCAGGCGCGGTGGCTCACGCCTGCAATCCCAGCACTTTGGGAGGCTGAGACAGGTGGATCTCCTGAGGTCAGGAGTTTGAGACCAGCCTGGCCAAAGTAGTGAAACCCCATCTCTACTAAAAATACAAAAATTACCCGGGTGTGGTGGCAGGCACCTATAATCCCAGGTACTCGGGAGGCTGAGGCCGGAGAATCACCTGAATCCGGGAGGCAGGTTGCAGTGAGCTGAGATCATGTCATTGCACTCCAGCCTGGGGGACAGAGCGATACTCCATCTAAAAAAACAAAAAAAGAATAACTTGCAGGACAGAGGCAGGGGAGACCAGCATATTAAGTGAGCCTATTTTTCATTCCTTCTCCCACTAGAATATATTGAAGAAAACCACAGACTTCATATTATTTCATCGATAAATATTTCAGTATGTATCTCAGAAAGATAAGGCTCTTTTTTAGACATAGTCACAATCCCATTATCACACTTTAAAAAAAAAATCTAACAATAATTCCTATTAAGGAAACCTATCGAGGACAATCTGACAAGACCTCAGAATGGAAGTGGGCTTGTATATCTTGAGCCAGCACTGTCACAAAGCCATGATAAGGAATTTAAATTTTCCCAAGATAATTACAGCCAAGGCGAACAGGGGGTTGGAAATGCAGGAGATTTGAGAAGCTTGTCTGGCTCTGGAAAGGAAATGTTATAAAGGAAGAAAAAAAAGACTGGAAAGGTTTACAGAGTACAAAAGACAAGACTCTTCTTTCTTTCTGACTTCCCCTTTCCTCATGCGAGGGTCTTTAGTCATAAATGAGAAATAGGAACCCGGGCTAGAGTGAAACCAAATGGATAAAAATAACACAACAAATACAGTATTGCTAAATGCAATGAGATAGAGGCATGGGGTTTATTTCCCACAAGGCTGTGCAAACTGCTCACTTCTTAGATAAAGGCTCTTCAGTTGCTGCTATTCAGAATCCCAGCTTCCTGAGAGGTCATGTCCATTGATTATTAACTGGTTATTGTGGACACTGACCTTCTACTAGGCATCAAGAAATCAGATTTCTAGACCAGGTGCAGTGGCTTACATCTGTAATCCCAGCACTTTGGGGGGCCGACGCAGGTGGATCACTTGAGGTCAGAAGTTTGAGACTCAGACTGGTGAAACCCCGTCTCTACTAAAAATACAAAAATTAGCCGGTGGCTCATGCCTTTAATCCCAGCACTTTGGGAGGCCGAGGCAGGCGGATCACCTGAGGTCAAGAGTTTGAGACCAGCCTGGCCAACATGGCGAAACCCCGTATCTACTACAAGTACAAAAATTAGCAGGGCGTGGTGGCGTGCGCCTGTAATCCCAGCTACTCAGGAGGCTGAGGCAGGAGAATAGCTTGAACCTGGGAGGTGGAGGCTGCAGTAAGCCGAGATCGTGCCACTGTACTCCAGCCTGGGTGACAAGAGCAAGACTCCATTTCAAAAGAAAAAAAAAATAAATTAGCCAGGTGTGGTCTCTACTAAAAATACAAAAATTAGCCAGGCATGTTGGCAAGCACTGTAATCCCAGCTACTTGGGGGACCAAGGCACGAGAATTGCTTGAGCCGTGGAGGTGGAGTTTGCATTGAGCTGAGATCGTGCCACTGCACTCCAGCCTGGGCAACAAAGTGAGACTTTTTCTTAAAAAAAAAAATATATATATTGGTCCAGCTCCTCCATGAAATTGCTCTGTGACCTTGGGCAAATTCCTTGACTTACCTGAGCTGTCTGTAAAGTGAGGGTATTAGACCATAAGACCTCATCATTTCCTTTAAGAGTCGAGTTCTCTGATTCAGTGAATACCTAGTGAAACAGTGCTTACTTCCTGGGGTTTAGAAAGCGTTACTAGGATTTGGCTCAATGTTACACTGCATCTGCAAAATGCTTGGATAGGCCGGGAGCGGTGGCTCGTGCCCTGCAATCCCAGCACTTTGGGAGGCCGAGGCGGGTGGATCACTTGAGATCAGGAGTTCAAGACCAACCTGGCCAACATGGCAAAACCTCGTCTCTACTAAAAATACAAAAATTAGCAGGGTGTGGTGGCGCGTGCCTGTAATCCCAGCTACTAGGGAGGCTGAGGCAGGAGAATCGCTTGAACCCAGGAGGCAGAGGTTGCAGTGAGCCGAGATCACACCACTACACTCCAGCCTGGGCAACAGGTGAGACTCTGTCTTAAAACAAACAAACAAAAAAAAGAATACTTGGCTAACCTCGGTGAAGGATGCCATGTGTTGATGATGCAGGTTCATGCTACAAAATCACCCAGCGTTGCTCTTGGCTGACGCCCCAGAGGAAATCTGAAACGCAGCACTACGTGAGCTCTCTGGAAATGGATGGTAGACGGAGAGCACGTGGAAACTGCACAGAGCCGTCCACAGATGGAGCCAGCTGCCTGAGGCTCAGGAAGCAAATTGAAGAAATAAGTTGAAACAACAGCCCAATGTGTTTTTTTTTGTTGTTTTGTTTCATTTTAATGGCAGGTAAAGGGGTTGACGGATGGGGACCAGGGATGTGGGGCTGAGATGGAGCTAAAGGGGAGGGGGCTGTGAAAGCCGGCAGGTCCAGTTGCCATATGTTGCTGGGATTCTGGGACCTTGACCTGGGGAACTGCATTTGAGCAGAGTCTGAAGAACTTGAGATTGGAGGGGAGCCAGAGGAAGTTGCAGAAGAACTTGAACCCGAAAGGGCAGAGGAAAAACAAAACAGACCCCATCCTGGGCCAGAAGAGAAGCCCTTTCCTGACACCTTGCCCTCTGTCCGGCTCATCATCACGTGAGGAAGGAGGGGCTGTGTGGCTCTTGGCTCCAGCTGCTCTGATTTCTTTTTTCAGTTCCTCCAAGGTGCTCTGTTCTTTCTTGCTGCATGGCCTCTGCTGTGTCCTCTCCCTGGAAGGCAGCTCTTTCCCCCGATCAACTTCCACTCAGACCTTAGCTTAAATGTGTTGCCTCCAGGAAGCCCTCCTTGGCCTTCTGATAAGACAAACCACTCCATTTTAAGTTCTTACGTCATTAGTCACTTTTAAAAAATAGTGCTCCTCACTGTTATCATTCTTAATGTATTTATGTGATTTTATCATTCTTTAATGTATTTAATGAATTTATGTGTATTATGTGATTTACATGTTTCTAAAAAAATGTCTAATTTTGAAACAACATTGAGCTTTTAGAAAAGTTGCAAGAATAATACAAAAACCTCTATAGGCCAGGTGCGGTGGCTCACGCCTGTAATCCCAGCACTTTGGGAAGCCCGGGTGGGTGGATCGCTTGAGCCCAGGAGTTCAAGACCAGCCTGGGCAACATAGCGAGACCTCATCTTTACAAAAAACAAAGCAAGCAAATTAGCTGGCTGTGATGGCACGAGCCTGTAGTCCCAGCTACTTGATGGTTAAGGTGGGAGGACTGCTTGACCTAGGAGTTCAAGGCTGCAGTGAGCTATGACTGCCGCAGCATTCCAGCCTGCACAACACAGCGAGACCCTGGTTCTAAAAAAATAATATTTCAAAAATTAAATAATTTAAATTAAATGAATTTTATTTATTTATTTATGGAGATACAGTCTCACTCCGACACCCAGGCTGGGGTGCAGTGGCACAATCTCGGCTTTGCAGCCTCAACTTCCAGGGTTCAGGTGCTTCTCCCACCTCAGTCTCCTGAGTGGCTGGAACTCCAGGCATGCACCACCATACCCGGTTAATTTTATATATATATATATATTTTTTTTTTTTTGAGATGGAGTCTCGCTCTGTTGCCCAGGCTGGAGTGCAGTGGCGTGATCTCGGCTGACTGCAAGCTCTGCCTCCCGTGTTCACTCCATTCTCCTGCCTCAGCCTCCTGAGTAGCTGGGACTACAAGCATCCGCCACCATGCCCGGCTAATTTTTTGTATTTTTAGTAGAGACGGGGTTTCACCGTTTTAGCCAGGATGGTCTCAATCTCCTGACCTCGTGATCCTCCCGCTTCGGCCTCCCAAAGTGCTGGGATTACAGACATGAGCCACCGCGCCTAGCAATTTTTTGCATATTTTTTGTAGAGAAGGAGTTTCACCATGTGGCCCAAGCTAGTCTCGAACTTCTGGGCTCCAGCAATCCACCTGCCTTGGCTTCCCAAAGTGCTGGGATTACAGGTGTGAGCAATCGTGCCTGGCTTAAATTATCTTTAACTTAATTAAATTAAATTTTATTTAATTTTTAAAATTAAATAAAAATAAAAAGAACTCCTGGCTGGGTGCGGTGGCTCACTCTTCTAAGCCCAGCACTTTGGGGGGCCAAGGTGGGTAGATCACTTGAGCCCAGGAGTTCAAGACCAGCCTGGCCAACATGGTAAAACCCCATCTCTACAAAAAAGTACAAAAAATTAACTAGGCATGGTGGTGCACACCTGTAGTCCCAGAGACTTGAGATGCTGAGGCGGGAGGGTCTCTTGAGCCCAGGAGGTGGAGGTTGCAGTGAGCCGAGATTGCACCACTGCACTCCAGCCTGGTCGACAGAGTGAAACTCTGTCTCAAAAAAAAAAAAAACACAAAAAATTGTAAAAACTCCCAGACTCAACAATTGTTAACATTTTGTCACATTTCCTTTGTGATTCTCTCTCCCTGTCTCTTTATATGTATACGTATAGATTATATGTAATCATACCTATATACATATAATATATGATTGTTTTTTCTGAACCTCTTAAGCATAATTTGCAGATATCTTGCCCCTTTACCCCTAAATAAGATCTTCACTTACACAGCCACAGTTGTATAAATGATCTGATTAATGGAATAACATCTGTTTTGACTTAAATGTAGGTTCCATGAGGGTGCGGCGGTATCTTGCTTTTTCACCCACGTATGTGTCACCTAGCATAGTGCCTGGTGCATAGCTGGGACTCGAAATATTTGTTGAACGTACAAGAATTCCTGAATTCCAAGGGCTTGCCATTAATATGGTGTTCTTGCCCCGCGGCCAGCTTTCTCACTCAGCCTGCTGCACGTGTTGGATGGGGCTGGGTGTTGAGACTTGTCCCGCCCATCTCTCGGTGGGGAATCAGGATCCCATCAAGGTAAATCAGTGCCTGAAGATGTGGCTTTGGCTTCTGTCATTTCTGTTAAATCCTCTCCAGCCAGCTCTGACCCTTGCCGAGCTACATTCCTTTTTTTTTTTTTTTTTTTTTTTTGAGATGGAGTTTCGCTCTTGTCCCCCAGGCTGGAGTACAGTGGCGTGATCTTGGGTCACTGCAACCTCTGCCTCCTGGGTTTAAGTGATTCTCCTGCCTCAGCCTCCTGAGTAGCTGGAATTACAGGCATGCACCACCACCCCCAGCTAATTTTTGCATTTTTAGTAGTGATAGGGTTTCATCGTGTTGGCCAGGCTGGTCAAGAACTCCTGACCTCAAGTGATCTGCCTGCCCCAGCCTCCCGAAGTGCTAGGATTACAGGCGTGAGCCACCGTGCCTGGCCCGGAACTACATCCTTGACTGGCAGCCACCTCTCCTCTGGCTCGGTGGCACCTGTTGGCCATCACACCCAGTTAACTGGCCCCATGAGAGAGTTCTGGCAAAGGCAGCTGAAAGGCTGGCCAATCTTCCCAGGCAGTTGCCTTTGTGAGGCACTGGCCTCAGCCTTGGAAACTGCCCTCTGTCCCCTTGGCCCACCAGGTGCTTTGGCCTACCTTACCGCCCACGTTGTGCTCTCCTGTTAGGATGTCGTAGCTCTTAGTTTACATAGGGGGCCAGTGGAGGGCATGATGTCCTCAGGGCAAGTAAGAGCTGGGGCCCACAGCCCACAGAATCCTGAGTTGGACAGGCTTTTAGAGATCAGATAGGACAGTGGTTTTCCAAATGTGGTCCCCAGTCAGCACCATCTGCACCTCCCGGGCACTTGGTAGACGTACCCCACCCCAGCTCTATTGAATCAGGAACTGATTAGGGTAGGGCACAACCATCTATGTTTTAATCAGCCCTTCAGGAGGTTCAGATGCGTGCTCAGGTTTGCAACCTTTTGCTTTAGGCCAACCCTGGCAGTTTTCAGGGCGGGGGTGGGGGGTTCACGCGGCTCCTGCCTCTCACATAGCACATTCTTTGCTCGCTGTTGCCCATCTGCAGCTACTGGCTTTTTAAAACAATGTTTTCAGAATAAAAAATAAGCTTATCACGGAGTTATTACATTACCATGGCAACCTGGCACCTGACTAGACAGAAGCAGGTAGCACAACTGCCTTGGGGTCTCAGTGGCACTAAAGTAATCGTGGATTTTTGCTCTGTGGGCTGTTCTGCGTATGAACAGCTTCTTTGTTTCTCTTGTCTTTTCCCCCTTTTTTCTCCTGTTTTCGGTTTGGACCCTTATTCCTCTCTCACCTCATTAGGAGCAAAGAATAATTGTTTTAGATTTTCCAAGAGGCTGCCACATCTGACCTCTCCTTTGAAACTAACAATAACCCCAAGAGGTAGCTGATATGAGCAGGGCTATTTTGCTGCGTTTTTTTTGTTCATTTGTTTGTTTGTTTTTAGATGGAATTTTGTTCTTGTTGCCCAGGCTGGACTGCAATGGCGCCGTCTCGGCTCACTGCAACCTCCGCTTCCCGGGTTCAAGCGCTTCTCCTGCCTCAGCCTCTCGAGTAGCTGGGATTACAGGCATGCGCCACCATGCCCAGCTAATTTTGCGTTTTTAGAAGAGTCTCACCATGTTGGTCAGGCTAGTCTCGAACTCCTGACCTCAGGTGATCCACCCTCTTTGGCATCCCAAAGTGCTGGGATTACAGGTGTGAGCCACCTCGCCAGGACCTGACTGCATTTTTATCATCATCGAAGTGTTGTATTAAAATTTTCTTGAATTGATTGTTTTGAGAAGGAACACGCACAGAAGGCAAAATTCAAAAGGTACAAAATGGTGCATGTTCAGAGTGAGTCTCTGAATGACTCTGTGTCCAGGTCTCCTCCCTGGGCCGGGGTGGGGGGCGGGGTCCCGTGATCTGTTTCTTGTGCTTCCTTACCGACTTGCTGAGACAGCCTACACATATAAAAGGTTTTTTTTTAAACCTTTCACCTTTGTTATTTACACATATGGCAGGTTCCATCCCCACTGCTCAGTACCTTGCTTCCTTCACGCAGTCTGTCTTAGGGATCCTTCTCCAGCGTTTAGAGTTGCCTTATGCTTTTTATTTTTTAATTTAATTTTTTAAAAATTTGAGACAGACTCTCACTCTGTTGTCCAGGCTGGAGTGCAGTGGTGTGATCTTGGCTCACAGCAAACTCTGCCTCCTAGGTTCAAGTGATTCTCATGCCTCAGCCTCCTGAGTAGCTGGGATCACAGGTGAGCACTAATTTTGTATTTTTAGTAGAGATGGGGTTTCACCATGTTGGCCAGGCTGGTCTCGAACTCCCAACATCAAGTGATCTGCTCACCTTGGGCAGATCCCAAAGTGTTGGGATTATAGGCGTGAGCCACCACACCCAGCCGCCTTATGGTTTTTAAGAGTCTGTTCCATAGTGTAGATGTATCACCATTTAAGCAGTCCCCTGTTGATAAATATTTGGGTTGCTCCTAGTCTTCTGCTATTTTCATCCTCATTTAACAGCTAGAAAAGTTGTGATTCAGAGAGGGACATGACCTGTGAAAGTTCCCAAAGCAAACGTTGGCATCTTCAGGCATTGCTTAGCTACAGAATATAAGAAAAAAGGAAGAGATGACTGACCCCTGAATTAGAGAAAACACAGAGCCATCCAGCGACCTGATTTCCTCTTCTGCCACACTAGTGTCTTAACTAGTTCAGTTAAATTCTTCTAACGTTGCCTGATATGGAATTAAATAATCATTTATGGAAGTATTTTAAATCTGTCTTCCTTGCTAGACAGTAACCTTTGTTAGGGCAGGGACTATGTTTTCCTCACTCCTTCATCCCTAGCAAGGACTATACTCCTAGAAAGTACTAAGTATATAGCAGGTGCTCAATAAATACCTGTTAAATGAATGAATGAATGGATCAGGATTGTGCGTGGTTAAGACAGTGGGCTTAGAGATCTTGCTTTGAATCCTGGGTTTAACAGTTATTACTATGTAATCCTAGACCCATCATTCAGCTTCTCAATACCTCCATTTCCTTAGGTGTGACATGGAAACGCTCCCTTGGGATTGCTGGATCAGGTGAGCAAACGCAGGTCAGGTATCCATCACAGGGTCTGTGTGCAGTGAGGCCTCAGCCATTTTTCCTAAGCCAGAGCTTCTTCCAACATCATATGCTGCCTGGAAATTCTGATGAAGGAACCGAAGAATCTTCAAGGCGGAGGTAATTTGAGCTGGGCCCTGAAGGAGGAGTAAGATTCCAGCTTATGTGGCCAGGGCCAGATTTCTTTCCTGAGTTCATCCAACTACAAAATGGAGATGATGACACCCAGTTTCTGTCTCCCTCTGGGAGCGCTGGTCTGGCTTAAAGTCTCTCAAGAGGAAAAACATCATACAATTAAAAGGCACCATCGTTATTCAACTGGAAAAGTGCCTTCCCGGGACAAGTGATTCTGCTTGTGCTGTGTATGATTGGATATTTAGTGTGAATTTAACCCAGGGTGTCAACTGTGCTGTCAGTTAGAGCTAAGTGTAATGGGGCACTTAGTAAATGTGGAGGTAATTAAAGCCATCCAGATGCTGGATGTGGGTGAGCTTTGTGCTGCCTCTGGGACTGAAATGCTTTAGAGAGATGAAGTTCTGGAGTCTCTTTTTGGGGTGCACTGGGAGTGTAAGTCCCGGCGTTGGCCTTTGCTGCTGCTGTACCCTTCTGCTGGAGACTGAAAGCCACCTATTCTGGGAAGCCTTCCCTGATCACCAAGACAGAATCTGATGTTCTGGGTTTTCCTGGCACCGCACACACTTCTCACAATATCCTATTATCTTAGTTTGTTTCTATGCCCATCTCCCCCAACTGGAGTCCAAGATATTGTCCCTAGGATTTTTCTGACATACAGTTAGTGCTCAATAAGTGTCTGCTGAATGAAGCTTTTCAGGTTTCACAACCATGGGAAATCTTGGGTCTCAAGAACAGATCAAGGTGTTTGATTTTCCTGGGAAGGGTAGACCCTGTGTAGTTCTGGCAAGTGATCCCTCTTCTGATGGAAATTCTGTTTGATGCCCTCCCTAGTGAGGCCAGGGTGGCAACGTGAGCCTATCCTCCTTTGCAGCAGACCTGAGCCCTGTAGATTTACAGATATCTGAGTGTGGAATCCAGCCCTGAGTCCACACCTTGTAGAAAGCAGGAGGAGAGCAGGCCTTGAACAACTGAAGTTGCTTATCTGCTATGAGCCTCCTGGAGGCCCAAATAAAGAATCCAGAATGTGGCGAGTCTCCACTGCTGCCTGGGCCCTGTTGCCTCTAAGATGAACTTATCGCTGACCTTTCTGGCACATGGAGAATGTCCCCACTGCCCGGAGAAGAGAGGCCTCTCCTTGTGGTCCTGCATTCTGGACTCAGTGGGATCCACCGCACTCAGCATTCTTGGCTTCATGCTGGAGCTGAGCGTAAGGTGAGAAGGAGTTGCTGGGAACACTGTGATACCTGGCTCAGGCAGGAACCACCCAAGTCAGGCATGATCAGATCTTGGACTGACAGCCACCTGCTCTGAACAAGGCCCTGGACTCTGGACTTACCACTGTCTCTGACCAACCCTTCCAGCTGGCCTTTCTACCTCCAGATTCGGAGTCTGGAGTCAGGCTTCTGGCTGGTCATGGTTAGGTCCAGTGTCCATGCTCCAGCAGGAATTGAGGGGAGCGTGTCCCTCCCATTCGTCTGCCATTATCTCCCTGCTTCTTGGGATTCCCACAAATGGGGTCTCAGATGCTGGGCAGCCCAAGTGACAAATACTAGCTGGGTTCCCATTCTATGAACTTGATATTCTCTCTCGGAGGGCTCCATCTCCTGGGCCCATCTCTGCCCCATGTGGTGTCTGCTGAGGTGCCTGGGTCTAGAGAATCCACTTCCAAGATAGTTTCTTTGTTCAAAAAATGTTTTTTTTTATTTTTTTATTTTTATTTGAGATGGAGTCTTGCTCTGTCACCCAGGCTGGAGTGCAGTGGCGCAATATTGGTTTACTGCAAACTCCGACTCCCTAGTTCAAACAGTTCTCCTGTTTCAGCCTCCTGAGTAGCTGGGATTACAGGCACATGCCACCATACCCAGCTAATTTTTGTATTTTAGTAGAGACGGGGTTTCACCATGTTGGCCAGGCTGGTCTTGAACTCCTGACCTTGTGATCTGCCTGCCTTGGCTTTCCAAAGTGCTGGGATTACAGGCGTGAGCCACTGTGCCTGGCCCAAAATTTTAAAACGAAAAATTAAAACATACAAAAAAGCCAAAAGAATTGTTCAAAAAATGCTATACCCATCATCTATTAGGTTGGAACAAAAGTAATTGCGGTTTTTGCCATTCCTTAACCTAACAGATTCTATGCTTAACTTTCATTCTGCCACATTTACTTTAACACACATGCATCCATCTCTCCACCGCTCTGAGGTAGCTTCTTCACTCTTGGGTCTGATGCCTGATGCTCCCTGCACTCTTTCTCCCTATGTGGCCTGAGCTTCTCACAGCTCGGTGGTCTCGGGATAGTTGTTCTTTCTGCATGGTGGCTGATTTCCAGGCCAGTTCAACACCATGCTTGAAACTGACACAGCATCTCTTCCACAATTGTCTATTGCTCAAAGCAGTCACTGGGTAGAAGAGCATGTGGGATGGGGAATACCAGCCACTTAGGATAAACAGTCAGCTGCAAAGGGTGGTCAGTGGAGCCTTGAAAAGGTGATATTGGGGCTCGGTGCGGTGGCTTATGCCTGTAATTCCAGAACTTTGCGAGGCCAAGGCAGGTGGATCGCTTGAGCTCAGGAGTTAGAGACCAGCCTAGCTAACGTGACAAAACCCCATCTCTACCAAAAATATGAAAATTAGCTGGGTGTGGTGGCACATGCCTGTGGTGCCAGCTACTCAGGAGGCTGAGGTGGAAGGATTGCTTGAGCTGGGGAGGTGAAGGTTGCAGTGAGCTGAGATCATGCCACTGCACTCCAGCCTGGGAGACAGAATGAGACCTTGTCTCAAAAAAAACCAAAAACCAAAAAACAAAAACAAAAAAAAAAAAAAAAGAGAGAAAGAAAGAAAGAAGGAAGGGAGGGAGGGAGGGAGGCAGGATGGGTGGTATTGGGGCTGAGCCCTATGGAAAGAGAATGAACCTGTCTTGTGGAGAGCCAGAAGACAGCATTCTAGACAGAGAGACCGACAAAGGCAATGGTTTGAAGGTGGAAAAGCAAATGTCGTACCTCTACTTTCCCTTTTCCACATCCAAATCCAGCCCATCATTCGGGACCCACATTGAGCTGCCTCCCTCACGAGGCCTTCCTAGATACTTCGGCGCGTGCTGATCCTGCCCCTCTTCCTAGAGCTTTCATGTGTGTACACTCATCTGACATGCACAGGTCAGCTGGGTAGTGCAAAGGTTATGCATGCAGACTCTGCGAGGCCTTAGGGAAGCTGCTTAACTTTTCCAGCCTTAGGTTTCTTCACCTGTAATGCCTACTTTATAGGGTGCTGGGGGAGAATATTGATACGTGTAAAGTGCTTGGCACCTTTACACATATGAATATGCAATAAACAGCAGCTACAATTAATACAAAACTGGCTCACTCAGTCAAGTGTGACTCCAAGAAAATATTTTTCAGAGAAGAGGCTACGGCTTTTTTGGCTTTTTCTTCTTCATTGTGCAATCACTGTGCCTTGCATAGATATTAGGCATAGAAATAAGCCTGCCACAAAGCTCTCCTCCGTGCTGTGGTGCTCATGGAGCCATGCAGGGCACAGAGACAGCAAAACTCAGCTGGAGGCCTCTAAGAGCTTCTAGAGAGTGAGCAAGTAGCTGTGCCTGTCATTGTGCCTGCAGCAGTCACTTGGGCGATCTTTTACATTTGGATACAGAGAGTAACAGGTTTCAAAGCACCTGCACACCTGGATTAGTATGCTGGGGCTGCTCTAACAAAGGACCACAAACTGAATGGTTTAAACAACAGATATTTACTTTTTCCCAGTTCTAGGGACTAGGAATCTGAAATCAAAGCGTCAGTGGCACCTTCTGAGGGCTGTGAGGAGCCTGTCCCATGCCTCTTGACTAGCTTCTGGTGGCCTGCTGGCAATCTGTGGTGTTCCTTGGCTGTAGAGGCATCGTCCCGATATCTGCCTTCATCTTCACATGACGTTCTCTCTATGTGTGCATCTGTGTCCATGTTCCCCCTCATTTAAAATAAACTATTTCCTTTTTTAGAGACAGGGTCTTGCTCTACCACCCAGGCTGGAGTGCAGAGGTGCGATCATAACTCACTTCAGCCTCCAACTCCTGAGCTCAAGCGATCCTCTCATCTCAGCCTCCTAAAGTGCTGGGACTACAGGCAAGAGCCATCGCGCCCTGTCAAAATTTCCCCTTTTTATAAGTACAGCAGTCATACTGGATTAGGGACTACCCTAACACTCTCATTTTAACTTGATTACCTTTGTAAAGCTCCTATCTCCAAATAAGATCCCATTGTGAGGTACTGGGGGTTACGGCTCAAACACAGCTTTTTGGAGGGACACAATTCAACCCAGAAAACACTCTCCTCACTCACACCCTGCAGTGTGTCTCTCCAGGGCAAGTAGTAAGTCCTGTCCTAAACATCTGCACCCTGCAGGCCTCAGTGTCACCCCCTCAGCTATTCTTAGGCTCCAAGCCGTTTCTCACTACCCAGCCTTTCCACCACCCATCGTGCTTTTTCCTCCTTCTCTTTGCCTGGCAAAGTCCTCCTCATTCTTCATTTCTTTTTTTGAGATGGAGTATTGCTTTGTTGCCCAGGCTGGAATGCAGTGGTGCGACCTCGGCTCACTGCAACCTCTGCCTCCTAGGTTCAAGCAATTGTCCTGCCTCAGCCTCTCAAGTAGCTGAGACTACAGGTGCACACCACCATGCCTGGCTAATTTTTTGGGTATTTTTTGTAGAGACGGGGTTTCGCCATGTTGCCCAGGCTGATCTCAAACTCCTGGGCTCAAGCAATCTGTCCACCTTAGCTTCCCAAAGTGCTGGGATTATAGACGTGAGCCACCACTCTTCATTTCTTACCAGAAATGTGATCTCATGGACGTCTTCCCTCATCACCTCTCTTTTGATTGTATCTCCCATGTTATTGCTTCTCTCATGGCTCCCCCTTCTTCCTTCCCAACACATCTCATGGTTTTTAAGTGTACATTTATCTGTGTGATTGATTAGTGGGGGTGACAGACATTGACCCCTAGTCTATAAGCACAGTCAGGGTAGGATCCCACCTACTCACCATTGTCTTCCCAGTTTCATAGTGCATGATCCAGAGTAGAAACTCCATAAATATTTTTTAAATGAATAAATTATGCATTTTGGGTCCCCCATGCCACCTCACATAGTATGGGATTAGTGAATGTTGAGTGTATTATTTGTCTTCTAAGAGACTGAATTCCTTTAGGGCAAGATAGGTCTCTCTCTCTCTCTTTTTTTTTTTTGGAGTCTCTGGTATCTAACCTCTGTTCCTTGATCCTCTATGTATGTTATCTAGGCTGCATAACCAATTATCCTAAAACTTAGGAGCTTAAAACAATAACATTTAGTATTTCACAATTTCTGTGAGGCAGGCATTCAAGTGGCATTGCAAGGTATTTCTGGCTCAAGGTTGCTCTTGAGTTTACACTGAAGATTTTGGCCAGGCCACAGTCATTTGAAAGCTTGACTAGGACTGCTGGAGCCACTTGGCTCATACACATGGCTGGCAAGTTGGAGCTGGTTGTTGGCAGGCAGCTCAGTTACTCCCCATGCGAGCCTCTCCATAGGACTGCTTGAGTGTCTTCACAACATGGATTCCCCATGAGCAATCAAGACAGAGGAAAGAGGAAGTTGCAATGTCTTTTATGACTTTATCTTGGAACTCGTGCTCCAAGATTTCCGCAATATCCTATGGGTTATACAGGTCAGTCTTATTCTTGGTGGGAGGTGACTACAGAGGGGTATGGATATCAGGAGCCAAGAATCGTCAGGGTTTATGGTGGAGGCTGGTTATCACACTCTCATCTAGGTTTCTTTTTCTCCTACTACTTGCCCCCCACCCCTTCTTAATCATGGAACACTGTTCTTTGCCTTCAAAAAACTTATCCTGTTATATGATTACACATTCATTTAATTAGTCTGTCTCCCTCCAACGGACTGTAAGCACCACAAGGGCAGAGACTGTATGTGTCTGCTTTAGCACTGTGTCCTCAGTTACAAGGACAAAGCATAGAGTACGCGCTCAGTGAATGCTTTTTGAATGAATTATAATGATTTGCTTCTGTCTGAATTACAAGAGGTGTTTCTGTTTGTCTCCTCTCTGCATTGTAGGCTCCTAGCTCAGGACCTGGCATAAAATTAAGGAAATGAACGTGAGAAACACTTTTGAAATAGTGACAACACATCCAGATGAACATTTTGCAGGACAGCTACACACCCGTTTTAGCTCACCAGCTACCAGTTGTGACTGTGCTCTGCTCTGGGAGATGGCTTAGCTTTGCATAGGACAAAATTCTAATCTAGTTTCGCGCAGTTCTTACGAATTTGTTACAATGAGACGGGCCAAGCTATACAGCCCATTGCGATGAATAAGTAACTTTTTTTTTTTTTTTTTTTTTTTTTTGAGGAAGAGTCTCATTCTGTCGCCCAGGCTGGAGTGCAGTGGCGCGATCTCGGCTCACTGCAACTTCTGCCTCCCGGGATTCAAGAGATTCTCTTGCCTCAGCCTCCCAAGCAGCTGGGATTACAGGCGCCCGCCACCACGCCCGGCTAATTTTTGTATTTTTGGTAGAGACGGGGTTTCACCATGTTGACCAGGCTGGTCTCGAACTCCTGACCTCAAGTGATCCGTCCGCCTCGGCCTCCCAAAGTGCTGGGATTACAGGCGTGAGCCACCGTGCCCAGCCCCGAGAAGTAATTTCTTTTGTTTTCTTTTTAATTAAACAAAAATGTTGCTGAAACGAGCTGAGTGATATAGGAGCTTAAAGAATTGACAAGCTCTAGATTTCATTTCCCCAAACCTCTTTGTCCAGCTCGAACCCACAGAACAGGGACAAAAGTCGACAAAACCCAGCGGTGCCTCACCCAGAAACCTGGCAACGCGGGCGGAACAGAGCCGGTTGGTTGCTCAGTGCGCGTCACTTCCGGGACTCAGGGTCGCAGGGAACTACTTCCGGGGGAGCGGCGCGGCGGCGCGGGAGGTGAGTGCCGCAGCTTTGCGGTGGGGTGGGAACCGAGAGAGAGCCGTCCTCGGTGCGGTGGCCTGGCTTTCCCGGCCGGCCTGTCTCCAGCGGCGCCGCTTGGTGGGCCCGGCTGTCGCTCCGCTCAGGGCCTGAATACGTTCCCTCGGCGGTTGTTCGAAAGTTACTTCCGGAGGGGAATTTGAGCCCCCCGGGAGGCGGAGGGCCTCGCCTGGGGCAGCCCTGCGCTTTCGTGCGGAGGCTGGGCCAGAACCCAGGGCTCCTCATGGCCTGGTCCGGGCCTTTCCTCCCACGGGTGGAGCAGTAGGAGAACCCTGAGCTCCAGAGTGAATCTGGCCAGGGTTCGAATCCGTATGGCTCTCTTACCGTGGGCAAGTCACGGTTCCTCTCTGGCCCTCAGTTTCGTCTTCTAAAATGGACATACACGCTTGTACTGCGGGGTAAACCGAGGTGGTGAATGTAAAGCCCTTAGTAGGTGCACAGTCCATGTTTGTTGTACGAATTCTAAGAGAAGCGAGAAATGAATATGAGAAACATTTTTAAAATGGTGACAACACATTTAGATTAATAATTATATTTTGCAGGGCATCTGCACACCAGTTTCAGCCCACCGGCTACCAGTGTGACTTTGCCCAGAGAGGTGGCTTAGCTTTGCATTCTAATCTAGTTTTGCGTGGTTCTTAGGAATTTGTTTTAATGGGACGGGCCAGGCTGTACAACCCATTGCCATAAAGCGGTAACTTCTTTTTCTTTCCTTTTTTTTTTTTTAAAGCCATTCTATTTATTTATTTAGAGACGGAGTCTCTCTCTCGTCCACGCTGAAGGGCAGTGGCGGGATCTTGGCTCACTGCAACCTCCGCTTCTTGGGTTCAAGCGATTCTCCTGCCTCAGCTTTCCGAATAGCTGGGATTACAGACGTGTGCCACCACGCCCGGCTAATTTTTGTATCTTTAGTAAAGACAGGGTTTCACCATGTTGGCCAGGCTGGTCTCAAACTCCCGACCTCAGGTGATCCACCCGCCTCGGCCTCCCAGAGTGTTGGGATTATAGGCGGGAGCCACCACACCCGGCTTTTTTTTCTTTTTAATTAAAAAAAAGTTGAAATAGAGATGGAGTCTCACTATGTTTTCCTGCCTGGTCTTGAACTCCTGGAGGCAAGATATCCTTCCTCCTGGACCTCCCAAAGTGTTTGGGATTACTGGCAAGAGCCACTGTGCCTGGCCTAAAACAGTAACTTCTGACACTGGTTTCTATTCCCCAGTCTGTTTTCAGCTGAATTTTCACAATAGAATTTAAAGTTACTTCATTAGAAGCCAAGAATGGCCTACCAGCACAGTACACAACATTGGGAGATGAAGGCCTGTGGCAGTCGTGAAATCTGAGTTTTTCAGTCTTAAGAGAAGATTTAGTATTTGCTAAGTCTTGAGAGCTATACTTGTCTCAGTGGTTTTTTATTTATTTGTTTTGAAATGTTGACCCATTCTTTTTTTCCCCAATAACCTTTTTGTTTTAGAATAATTTTAGATTTACAAAGTTATCGCAAAGATACTTCAGTGAGTGCCCATATAGCCCACGTTTCCCCTATTACTAATATCTGAAATGTCACAATTACTGAACCAATATTGATACATTATTATTAACTCTAATCTGTACTTTATTCACATTTCCTTAGTTTTTCCCTAATGTCCTTTTTCTGTCCTGGTATTATCCAGGGCACCCTATTACATTTAGTCATCATATCTCTTTAGGCTCATCATCTCTGTGATCGTTTCTCAGACTTCCCTTGTTTTAGATGAACTTGAGGGTTTTGAAGATAGTACTGACTGGTCAGATATTTTGCAGAAGGACCTTTAATTAGGATTTGCCTGTTTTTGACATGAGTAAGATCAGGGTAATGGGTTTTTGGGGAGGAGGACCACTGATAGGGTTCGGCTGTGTCCCCACCCAAATCTCATCTTGAATTGTAGCTCCCATAATCCCCCCATGTTGTGGGAGGGTCCTGGTGGGAGACAATTGAATCATGGGGGTGGGTCTTTCCCATGCTATTCTCCTGATAGTGAATAAGTCTCAGGAGATCTGATGGTTTTATAAAGGGCAGTTCCCCTGCACACACTCTCTTGCCTGCTGTCACATAAGACATGCCCTTGCCTCCCCTTTGCCTTTTGCCGTGATTGTGAGGCCTACCCACCCATGTGGAACCGTGAGTCCGTTAAACCTCTTTTTCTTTATTAATTACCCAGTCTCGGGTATTTCTTCAAAGTGGTATGAAAATGGACTAATCCAACCACAGAAGTAAAGTGCTATTCTCATCACATCATATCAAGGGTACATACTATCGATATGAGTTATCATTGTTGACATCTGTTAGCTTGAGCCACCTGGCTTGAGGTAGTAGTCAGGCTTTTCCAGTGTAGAGTTACTTTTCCTCCTGCACTTTCCGCACTGTACTTTTGGAGAAAGTCATTATGTACAGCACACATTTAAGGAGTGTGGAATTATGCCCCATGCTTAAAGGCAGAGTATATAATGCAAATTATTTGGAGTTCTCTGTGGGAAATTTGTCTGTTCCCCTATTTTTTGCTTACAGAGTCATATATTTGTATCGGTGTGAACTCATGGATTTGTTTTGTTTTGAGACAGGGTCTCCCGCTGTCGCCCAGGCTGGAGTGCAGTGGTGCAGTCTTGGCTCACTGCAACCTCCACCTCCCGGGTTTAAGTGATTCTCCTGCCTCAGCCTCCTGAGTAGCTGGGATTACAGGCACCTACCACCATGGCTGGCTAATTTTTGTATTTTTAGTAGAGAGAGTTTCACCATGTTGGCCAGGCTGGTCTTGAACTCTTGACCTCAGGTGATCCACCTGCCTTGGCCTCCTGATTACAGGAATCCCCTCTCCTGGGATTACAGGCGTGAGCCACCATGCCGGGCCTGAACTCATGGATGTTTATTTTATACTTTGGACCAGAATCCAGTACTACTTTATTTTGTTGCTGAAATTGTTCCTCCATTGGCCATTGGGAGCTCTTCCACTTGGCTCCTGTATCCCTTTGACATATCCCCCTCTATATGTTTTGCTTTGTTTTGTTTTGTTGAGCACTTTCTTTCTATTCCAGACTCATCTGGTATGTTTCTGCCCCAGTCCTAGAATTAGCCATTTCCCAAGGAGCCCTGGCTCCTTTTATTGGAGAATGGCCCAGAAAACAAGATCTGGGCTCTAGGTATGCTCAGTGCTTCTCAGTGTCCTTGCTTCTAGGCCTTCGCAGTGGACAGAGTAAGAGACATACGTATATATGCACAGATCTAGAAGTATTTCCATATATAACCACCTGTATCTACGTTCAGCTAAACATAACTGATGTCCAACTCTTATCCATGACTGCATGGATTGTTCTAGCTTGGCAGTCCCCAACCTTTTTGGCACCAGGGACCGGTTTCATGGAAGACAATTTTTCCACAGACCTGGGGGTGGGGATGGTTTTGGGATGATTCAAGTGCATTACATTTATTGTGCACTTTATTTCTGTTACTATTACATT
Organism: Homo sapiens; assembly: GCF_000001405.40. NCBI lineage: Eukaryota > Metazoa > Chordata > Mammalia > Primates > Hominidae > Homo > Homo sapiens. Next base: position 202,723 of record NW_025791812.1, read on the forward strand.
GTAATATATAATGGAATGATCATACAACTCACCATAATGTAGAATCAGTGGGAGCCCTGAGCTTGTTTTCCTACAACTAGACAGTCCCGTCTGGGGGTGATGGGAGACAGTGACAGATCATCAGGCATTAGATTCTCATAAGGAGCACACAGCCTAGATCCCTCACATGCACAGTTCACAATAGGGTTCGTGTTTCTATGAGAATCTAATGCAGCCGCTGATCTGATAGGAGGTGGAACTCAGACGGTAATGTGAGTGATGGGGAGCGGCTGTAAATATAAAAGAAACTTCGCTTGCTCACCTGCTGCTCACCTCCTGCTGTGCGGCCTGGTTCCTAACAGGCCATGGACTGGTACTGGTCTGTGGCCTGGGGGTTGGGGACCTGTGTTCTAGCTTCCTTCTCTTGCTTGTCTGTAACCTCCCACTCCACCTGTGACAAACCCGACTCCCACCATTCACCATACATTTACTTAATTGTTCCATTTAGCATACATGTATGGTGGTTTTAGAATTGCTCCCCCGATCCCCTGTGGGAAACAACTTATCAGCTAGAGTACAGTGTGTACGTGCAGTTCCTTTTGCCTTCAGTCTTACAGGCTCCACTCGTTTTCAAAGTTACTTAGGTCAGCACCCTATTCCCCCACTACCCTTTCAGTGAAGTTGTTTAATACATTTGGATTCAGAATGTCACATTCTGCATTCCATCCTGGAACACCCTGACTTCATGCGTGTGTATGTTGGTGTGTTTTAAAAACTGGGTCTCACTATGTTGCCCAAGCTGGTCGCAAACTGCCGGGCTCAAGCAATCCTCCTGCCTTGGCCTCTCACAGTTCTGGGATTATGGGTGTGAGCCACTGTGATGGCCTTCCTATGTCTTTTTAAAAATATTTGCATACATTAAACTTTACTCTTTGTGCTGTCAAGATTTTTGGGTTTTGACAAATGCTTAATATTTTGTATTCCTAATTATAGTGTCATACAGGATAGTTTCCCCTTCTTCAGGGATTATTTTTAACTTCTTTCAGATTTCACCTCAGCATTCCTGTTGGCCTTCACCAAAATATATCTGTAAGCTGAGAATTTACCACCTCCACAGCTACCACCCTGGTGCAAATGTGTCTTTTGACTGTTAAAGTAGCCTCTTCACTGGTCTCCTTGCTTTCAGTCTTGTCCCCTACAGTCTGTTGTCAACAAAGCAGCCAGAGGGATCATTTTGAAATGAGTGAGACCATGTGATTTCTTTGCTAAGAACCTTCCAGTAGTTCCCTTTTCACTCAGAGACTGGCCAGAGTCCTCATAATGGCCTGCAGCTTGCTTACTTGACTGTTCTTGATCATGATGCTTATTCCTGCCTCAGGGACTTGGCCCTTGCCGTCCCTCCATCCTGGGATACTCTGGCAGATGTTTAAATGACTTCTTCCTTTGCTTTCTTCTTTCCTCTGTTGAAATGTCACCTTTGCAGAGAGGCCCTTCCCCGACCACCTCATATTAAATAGTACTATCCTCTTCTTCCTTCCTGTATGTATTGTAATACTCACCCCTGACATTGCATGTGTATGTGTGTATGTGAGTACTTCTAACTGAATGGAAACTCCGTGGCAGGGATTAGACCAGTGCCTGGCACATAGTAGATTCACAATAAATATTTGTCCAATGAATTAATGTCTTACGTCACCAGTGTCTGGCATTCAGGGGTGAACTTCGCAGTGTCCAGTAACCTCATGAAATTATTTGCCACGTTCAGTAATAATTAATTATGCACCTTTTGTTAAATTCTGATGGGGTATGAAAGTCCCCTGGTGTATAAAAACCTCTACCTGTAAGCAAGTCTGGAGCAGGACAGGGCTAGAGACCAGGATAGCAGCTCTGCCCTGACTCATCAGGAGAGTCTAGGGAAACCTCGTGGCCTCTCAGCTCCTCCTTGTCGTTAAATGATGACTCTGTTGGTTGAGGCATCTGCTCTTGCTTTCGAGGTGGGAAACAGAGGCATAGGCTTAGTCATTTACCAAATATTTATGAGTCAGGACCTGGAATAAACTCAAGATGTACCCAAGATCCTTGCTGTTCAAGAGATTACAATGGATCAAATAGAAAACAGTAGATTCCAGTGTAATATTTCTCAAACAATAAGAAATAACATTCTAAAATTTGATCCAGCACATGCATGCTCAGATGTAGATGGATGTTGAAAAAGCTTCAGGATATAATACCGGCCCTTAATGTGATACTCTTTGATATTTTCTATTGTTATTTACCTACTTAAATAAAGTGCTGGCTAATAAAAAATGCTGGTTGCAGCCCCCTAAATGGTTTTCCTGGCTCACTAATGGGCCACAGCCTGCAGTTTGAAAACGATTGACATACTGGGTAAGCGCCCTGACTCTGGGGAAGCCAGCCCCTTTGAATCTTGCCTTTGCCACTTATCAGCCAGGTTATCCCTGGGTAGGTCATATAACCTCTCCAAGCCTTGGTTTCCTCATCCTCATTAGTAATACCACCTCCCAGTGTGGTGGTGAAGTATGCGAGTTGCTGCCTGTAAAGTGCTGTTCGCAACACCTGGCCGTTCATTTGCCGACTGCTGCTGCTGCTGGAACAATGGCCAGGGAACAAAACCTGTCACAGCCAGTCGAAGGGGTGTCTCCTAGTTGAGATCTGCAGGATGAATAGGACTTGTTTGACTTTGGTCATCAGGAAAGGAAAGCCCAGAAATACTGGCAGGAGGGCTGGGAAGTAAAGCACAGAGGTGCAGAGAGAACTAGATGAGAGCCGTACGGCGCACAGTGTGTGTAGAGCAGTTTATGTTTCCAGAACCTTTTCACAACCACCCTCCTGTTACACCTGTGCTGTCCAGTAGGGAACCTTTGGCCACATGTGGCTTTTTATTGTTAATTAGTTAAATAAAATGAAAAATTCAGTTTCTCTGTAACATTTAAGTTTTCAACAGCCACATGTGGCTGGTGGCTACCATTTGGAGAACACAAATACAGAACATTTCCATCACTGCAGAAAGCTTTATTGGACAGTATGACATTATACCCTAACAAAAGTCTTGTGAAGGAAGTAGGTAGGGCATAGATTTTTCTTAGATACTTTATTGTTTCATAACATTCCAAAAAATTAAAACTCATGACTTATTCACCTTAACAGCAACTATTTATGTTTCTGTAGCATCTTTTGATCTTTAGCCCATGAAATCAGCTTATAGATGGTTCCAATCATAGTGTTTATACAATTGCTTATTTTTTTCAATTACTGTTACTTTGCAAAGACTTTCCACTGACCTGATACACAATGTTTATATTTGCCGGGTTAGTGAAGAGGGATTATGCCATGATGTACCATCACTGGGTTAACTGCTTCCTGATTGTTGGACGCCTGGGTTGCTTCCTGTTTTTCAGTATTATGAATAGTGCTGCCATGAACTTTTTTGTACCTGAAGGCTTTTTCTTCTTTTGAATTGTTTCCTTACTATAAATTCTAGGAAGTAAGTTATTCAGTCAAAGGATATAATCACTTTTATGGCTCTTGTTATATTTTGTCTAATTGCCATTTTTTAAAAAAAGGCCTAAATGTATTATAGGTATCATTGTTGCTTGGCTCATGAGAACATCCCGTCTCCAGAGGTCAAGAGATTATTAGCCCAAAGTGTAGCTACTTGCAGATAGAGCAGGGGCTTTTGTCCTCTGCTTCCCAACTCTTGCCCTATCTTTCTATTGTACCACTCCAAATATTTCTTATCACAATGTTGCTGTTAGTAGTAACACTAGTAAATCTGAGTATTTATAAGCTCATAAAGCTTGTTACAGCCTTAAGCAAAAAGCTTGGGGCCAAGGGCGTTTTAAAAAATGCACACTTTATGAGGTGCAACTGCGGAGAAATGAGGACGCGTTCTTAAGCTTTGGTATTCACATGGTGGTGGTGCTGGTAGAGGCTGTTACATTTCTTCCAGTGAAGCTGTTCTTGCAGCCGCCTTGGAATTCACTTCAGGGCCAGTTTATGAGCCACCCCAAGTAATCTGCTTGGAGTCTGAGCATCATACCTTGTATTTGACCAAAAATGGTATTCCTGAGCTCAGTGCCACCTGATTCACTGCACTTGGAACCAGATGATGTTGGGCTCTTTCCAGAAGTCAAATCCTTCCTGGGAGGATGAAGATCTGCCAGCTCTGAGGATTCTGGCTGGGAAGAAAAAGAGCCTCAAGCTTTGAAGGCCATTCCCATGGTAGACAGAGCTGATGTGAAAAGTGGCCATCCTGTTGCCCCAGGCACATGACCTTCTGAAGTGACCAGGCTGAAAGGGAAGCAATACTCGTGTGTAAGTCCGGCTCTGTTTACTTACGAAGGTTGTTTTTATTATTCTTCGGTTACTTCATGTTGGAAACATGGTGCAAAGCAGTGAAGCAGCAGAGCCAAGGTGGCGGCAGGCCTTTTTTTTTTTTTGAGATGGAGTTTCACTCTTGTTGCCCAGGCTGGAGTGCAGTGGCGTGATCTCGGCCCACTGCAACCTCCGTCTCCCGAGTTCAAGCGATTCTCTTGCCTCAGCCTCCCAAGTAGCTGGGATTACAGGCACCTGCCACCATGTCCGGCTAATTTTTTTGTATTTTTATTAGAGACGGGGTTTCTCCATGTTGGTCAGGCTGGTCTCAAACTCCTGACCTCAGGTGATCTGCCCACCTCAGCCTCCCAAAGTGCTGGGATTACAGGCGTGAGCCACTGCGCCCTGTGAGGCAGGTCTTTAGGATTGTCTCTACCCCAGGGCTTCCCCACAGAAATATAATACAGACTATGTATAATTTTACATTTTCCAGTAGCCACATTTAAAAAGCAAAAAGGGATGATGCCTGTAATCTCAACACTTTGGGAGGCTGAGGCAGGAGGATCACTTGAGCATAAGAGTTTGAGGCTACAGTGAGTTATGTTTGTGCCATTGTACTCCAGCCTGGGTGACAGAGTGAGACCCTGTCTCTAAATAAATAAATAAATAAATGGGTAAAAAGAAACAGATTTTTAAAAAATTGTGACAAAATATATGTAACAAATTTACCATTTTAACCATTGTTAAGTTTACAATTCAGTGGTATTTGCAGTGTTGTATAACCGTCATCACTGTCTATTTCTAGAACTTTTTCATCTTTGCAAACTGAAACTCTGTACCCAGTAAACAATATCTCCCCATTTCCCTTCCCTCCAGCCCTTGGTAACCTCAATTCTACTTTCTGTCTCTGAATTTGCCTATTCCAGGTACCTCATATAAGGGGACTCATACAATATTTGTCCTTTTGTGTCTAGCTTATTTCATATATATTTATTCAAAGCTCATAATGTTTTCAAGGTTCATTCATGTTGTAGCATGTATCAGAATTTCATTTCCTTTATGGCTGAGTAATACTCCATTGTATGTATATACTACGTTTTGCTTATCCATTCATCTGTTTATGGACTCTTAGTTGTTTCCATCTTTTGGCTATTGTGAATAATGCTGCTATGAACATTAGTATCTTGAGTCCTTGCTTTCAATTCAATTTTTTTTTTTTTTTAAACAGGATCTCTCACCCCGTCACTCAGGGTGGCGCAATCACGACTCATTGGCTCACTGCAGCCTAGACCTCCCAGCTGGAGCAATTCTCCTGCCTCAGCCTTCTGAGTAGCTGGGACTACAGGTGTGTACCACCATGTCCGGCTAATTTTTAAATTTTTTATAGCAACAGGGTCCCACTCTGTTGCCCAGGCTGGTTTCAAACTCCTGGGTTCAAGTGATGCTTCTGCCTTGGCCTGTCAAAGTGTTGGGCTTACACTTTGGGCGTAACCCACCATGCCCAGCCAATTATTTTTTACGTGTATTTTTTGGTGGCAGGGTGGGGTGGGGGCAGGGTCGGGTGGGGGCAGGGTCTCGCTCTGTCACCCAGGCTGGAGTGCAGTGGCGTGATCGTGGCTCACTGCCTTAAGCTCCTGGGCTCAAGTGATCCTCCCACCTCAGCCTCTCGAGTAGCTGGGAATACAGGAGTGAGCCACCACTCCTGCCTAATTTATTATTTTTTTTGTAGAGATGGGGTCTCGCTGTGTTGTCCAGGCTGGTCTCAAACTCCTGAGCTCAAGTGATCTGCCCACCGTGGCCTCCCAAAGTGCTGAGATTATAGGCGTGAGCCACTGCAATCGTTTCAGCATGTAATCAATATGAAAACATTATGAATGAGATAGATTACATTCTTATTTTCATACTAGGTCTTTGAAAATGGGTGTGTAATTAGCATCTCAATTCAAACTAGCTGCGTTTCAAGTCTTAATAGTCATGTGTGGCTCATGGCCACCATATTGGATAGCTCAGACTTAGCAAAATATTGCATTGTGGCACAGATCTCTGGAAACACAAAGGGTTTTAGATTCAAGTGGGCCTGGTTCCAAAGTAAATTTGCCCCTTTATCATTGGGATGGGCAGAAGAAAGCCACTGATGGGTGCTGTGGTAAAGGGGGAGCAGTTCAGTCATGCCAGGGGAAGAGGAGGGTGACAGGAGAGGCATGTTGGGGAGATGACACTTGAGCTCAGCCTTAGAGGCAGAGTGGGGGCTTTGTCAAGCAGTCACAGTGGGAAAGGACATTCTTTGCAGAGTATGCAGCTTGGGCAGAGGCCCAGGATTTTGAAAGAGCCCAGTGCTCTTGGAGAACCACAGCAGTTCTTTCAGCTTGACTAGGATATTAGGAGTGGGGGCCCTGCTGAGAGGAGAGGCTGGAGAGCTGGGCTGAGGCTGGACCTTGCACCACTGGCCACCACTGCCCCTGTCATTCACGCCATCAGCAGCTCTTGTCTGGCTTATTGGCAGGGGCCTCCTCCTGGCTCTCCCTGTGTCCACTTTGCCTCTCCCCTTGTTGTCCCTCCTCCATTTAAAAATGGAAGTCAGATCATGTCACTTTTCTGCTCAAAACCCTTCAGTGGCTTTACATTTTACTCAATCAAATTGGAGGTATCAGGGTCCGCCCCCACTCCTCTCTGATCATACCTCCTTCCACCCTCCCTCCTGATCACTTCTCTGCCTGTACTGGCCTCATTTCCCCACCCTGGGGCCTCCACACTTGCTTTTTTCCCTGCCTGGAACGTGTTTCCCTCAGATACACAAATGGCTCCCTCTCTCACTTCTTATCTCTTCCACTCCATTCCCGTCTCTGTTCTTCAGAGAGAGCCTTCTCATCACAAAATAAAATGATGCCCTTAAGTTTTTTCCAAAATGCTTATCACTACCTGGCATATCACATCTCGACGTGTTCATTGTCTGCTTCCATCCTGAGCATGTAGAGGCTCCAAGAAAGCAGGGGTTTGTCTGTTTTGCTCATTCTTCAGTGCTTGGTATTCAAGAAATATTTGTTGAATGGATGACTACATGAATAAATAAACAACAAAACCTGAAACGTAGCAGCCTTTAGTAAATGTATGTTGATTTGAGATTTTTGTTGAAGTGCTTCCCTTTGCATTTATTTATTTTTCTCAACTTTATGTTTGGAAAACATCAGATACACAGAAAAGTTGAAAGAATGGTTCATTGACTGACCATATGTTCCCAACTTAGATTCAAGAGTTGTTAACATTTCACAATTCCTGTATATATTCTTGGGTGTGTGTGTGTGTGTTCAAGTTAAAAGTCAGTTACAGGCTGGGTGAGGTGGCTCACACCTGCAATCCCAGCACTTTGGGAGGCTGAGGCGGGCAGATCACCTGAGGTCAGGAGTTCAAGACCAGCGTGGCCAACGTGGTGAAACCCTGTCTCTACTAAAAATACAAAAATCATCCAGGTGTGTTGGCCCACACCTGTAATCCCAGCTACTCGGGAGGCCAAGGCAAGAGAATCACTTGAACCCAGGAGGCCGAAGTTGCAGTGATCATGCCATTGCACTCCAGCCTGGGCGACAGAGTGAGACTCCATCTCATAAATAAATAAATAAATAAATAAATAAATGTCAGTTACAGAAATATGACACTGACCCTTTGCATTTACAAGTTGGTTCTAAAGAGTGGTGAGTCAGAAGAGACGTCAGGCAGCAAGCGACTTGGGCCATGGCCTCTGACCTAGACTTCTCACCTCCGGAGGTGCCCGAGCCCACTTTCCTGGAGAACCTGCTACGGTACGGACTCTTCCTGGGAGCCATCTTCCAGCTCATCTGTGTGCTGGCCATCATCGTACCCATTCCCAAGTCCCACGAGGCGGTGAGTTTTTCCCTGGGAGCCTCAGCTCCTCTGAGTGCCAGGCTGGGTTCTGAGTACTAACAGTAGGTGCCACCACAACTGAGATCAGCAGGGTCTACATTGGGCCTTTTTGATTTAGTGTGCCTCTGAATTTCCACCTGGTGGGTTGAACCACATAGCTAATACTTTATTTGTTCATGTACCCATTAAGGAGATTTTTATTTAGTGCCTACTACATTTCAGACTCTGCTGAAGATGTAGTGTCTGCACCTGAGGAGCATCTAGTCCTTGGGAGGAAGGCAGATAACAAAAACATACCTCCATGTGCTCCCATGAGAAGTACAGAGTCCAGTGAGGCTATATAACAAGGGGGAGAGAGACCTGATCTTACCCTGGGCTGTGGGCCCTGCCGAGGAGGCAGTGTTTGAGCTGAGACTGAAGGAATGAGCAGGCTTCTGCCAGGTGAAAGTGGGCAAGGGGCGAGGACAACATTCCAGGGAGAGGGCACTGCACGTGCAAGGGACTCAATAAAGGAAGGGGCTAATTCAAGGAACTGAATGAAGGTGACTGTGGCCAGAGCACAGAGGGGGCATGATGAGTGGTGCAGCCAGAGGTGTGGGCAGGGGCCAGAGGGTTTTAAGTGTGAGAATGACATGGTCAAATTGGCTTTTTTGTTGTTGTTTTGACTCTTCTTCTGTAAGTATCTTTATAACTATACACCCTCCTTCTACCCACTTTCTTGCCCACTCCCATTTGCTCGTGACATTGATTTATTGGAGAAAGCAGGTCGTTTGTCATGTGGGATACCTACATCCCAGGAATTGGCTATTGCTTCTCTGTGGTGTCATTTAACGTGTTTCTCTGTTCCCTGTGTTTCCTGTCAACAGGAGTTCCATGTAGAGGCCTGATTCCATTCCAGTCAGGTTATTGGGTACGAATACCTCAGAGCTGGTGCTATGTACTCCCTACTGTGTGGCATCAACAAGCAGGTGGTGTCTGGCTGCTGCACATTTAGAGATTCTTGGATTGATCGGTGGGTTTAGGTGGTATCAGCTGATCCCTCCATTATAAAAATCCGGTCAGTCTTTCACCTAAGCGGTTTTAGCATCCATTGATGGTCGTTGCTTAGATCCATTATTTCCTTCTGCATCTGTTAGCTGGAATTCTTTAACAAAGACCTTTTCCTTATCACTTGTATGATTACTCTGAATTGCTCTTCATAATGAAAAGCAGGAAAAATGCTTGGTTCTTTCCCTTTATTTATCAATTTTCAAAGTTGTGAGTTCAGACTCTAGCAACTTCCAATGATGACCAATGAAGCTTTGGTTTTCATAGCATTCTGAACATATTTTTAATATATTTAATATGTTTTAGTTTTTTTTTTTTGAGGGCACTTATCTGCCATTAATTTGTTTTTTATGTTCAGTGGGAGCCCCTTTAAGTTGATGTCTTTGTTCTTTGTCATACTTCATTAGTCTTTGATAGCTTCCTTGCTTCATGGTTCAATAAGATGTCACAGGCTCTTTTTTGTGTGTGTGCGAGACAGGGTCTTGTCTGTTGCCCAGGCTGGAGTGCAGTGGCACAATCACAGCTCACTGCAATCTCTGTCTCCCAAGTTCAAGCAATTCTCCTGCTTCAGCCTCCCAAGTAGCTGGGACTACAGGTGTGCCACCATGGCTGGCTAATTTTTGTATTTTTAGTAGAGACACGGTTTTGCCATGTTGCCCAGGCTGGTCACAAACTCTTGGGCTCAAGCCATCCACTTGCCTTGAGCTCCCAAAGTGCTGGAATTATAGGCATGAGCCACTGCGCCTGGCCCCAGGCTCATTTTGTACATTTCCTGCCCCAGTCTTGGAATCAGTCATTTCTCTAAAATGCTCTGGTTCTTTTTAGCTAGAAAATAGTATCTAGAGGCTACAGTTGGGACATTAGAAGTTTTCAGTGCTACTGAGCTGTGATTGCATCTAGGCCTTTCAATAAACAGAAATAGAAAATAAACATTTTTTAAGAAATGAAAAAGTTGTGAGTTCATACTGGTATTTCCAATTCAAATGTAAGGTGATAGTGTTTCTATTTATTTGATTTTATACTAGTGTCTTGTAACTCTTTATCTTATGCTGGAAATCTTGTTCTCAATAACATTAACAAAATGATGTATCTGCTAGATCCTACTGAATCTGAGGTCCCCAGGACCACCCCAGGTTCAGTGATGCACTAGGACTCTCAGCTGTGGCAGTGAAAGGATACCAGGTATGGCGGCACAGGGAAAAGGTACATGGGGCAGAGACTGGAGGAAACAGGCGCAGGCGTCTGAGTGCTCTCCCATTGGATACCCACAGGAAGGATTTGTGGCAATGTGTGTGAAGTGTTATCTAGCAGGGAAGTGAGTTAGAGACTCAGTGCCCACATCTCTTACTGAGGACTGGTTACAGAAGCACCCTTGGCCTAGCATGTACCAAAATTCCAGACTTCCAGAAAGCAAGCAGGTGTTCAGCATGAACCTTATTGTTTACACAGTATAGGCGTGGTGAGCCACTCTTATCATTTCTGGGAATTGTGAGAACCACCTGGAATCCAAGTTCCCAGATGCCAGTCAAGGGCCAACCTTGCAAGCATGCTTCTCTAAGATTAGCAATTTATATTAACTTTATTCTGCTCATCTACAATATACCAGTTACACTTTTAAAATAACTATATTTTTTACTACTAAGACTCAGAATGAAATTTAAGACTTCTTTGTGATTCTTTTTTGGCCTTAAAATATGTCTTTGTGGAGATACAAGGTCAAAATGTTGTGTTTAGTAACTATTTTTCTCTGTGTAGGTCTCCCATCATGAGATATAGTTTGGTTAATTTGCTTCAATCTGTTTTTAATTTTTAGAGATTTTTAAAATTTTGATTTAATTTGTTGTTTTAATTATATAAAACATTTATATACAATATTTCTCAAAGTCAAAACTATATAACAAGGTACATTTACAGAAGTTTCCTTTAATCTCATTCTCCTCCACCCTATTCCCTTCCTTCCCACATAGTTAACAGTTGTTATTAGTTTATCTTTCCTTTGTTTCTTTTTGAAAACAGTAACAAATGCATATATATGTGTATGGTGTGTACATATATATTTATATTCCCCCCTTCATTAAATAAAAGATAGCATACTATTAAACACAGTTTTGCAACTTTCTTTTTTCACTTAACATACGCAATATGTTCTGGAGATCCATATATCTTGGATATCACTGTTCCTGGAGATGCTGCTTCTGTAGCTGGGAGGATGATGGGGAATTACTGATACAATGTGGAACCTATTGATGCAGTGGAGAACTATGGTGAAGGAACAGGCTTAGGGTGGGTGCAGGGAAGGAACATGCCAAGTTCAGTTTTAAACAGATACTTTAACATGTCTGGGTGGTTCTGTCAAAAAAGCCGGTGGATTTACAAGGTCTCTAGCAGGAGGAGTGCATGGGCTGAGTGTTGACCAGCATGTGGGAGTTGATACGATGTCATTTGAAGCCACGGCAGGGGACAGGGTCTCCTAAGGAGAGAATGTGGAGGGAGATGAGAAGAGGACCTAGGCCAGAGCTGGAGGGGCTCCAGCATAGAGGGCACAGGCAGGGGAGGAGCAGCCAGCAAGGGTGGGAAAACCTTGGTGAACAGGGATGGGTTCGTGGCCTCTAGGTTGTCTTGTCCATCTCTTATTCTGGTATCTTGAGAAGGAGATCACTATTGGCGTTCTTCCACCCACAATTGTATCGCATTTTAAAAACATCACCTCTGTGCTCCTGGGCTCTGTCCCTGCAGACGTGGCATGCTATTCGGTATTATAAATAACAAATGTGGTTGTTGGTGGCTGATGAGGCCTGCTAAGAGTCCCGAGGGAGGGAGGTGATGAGCCTTCTTGTTTTATAGGCAGAGGTGTGTGGCTGTTTGGAGAGCAGGGAGGCTGCTCACCTCCTGTTGTGTTTGAAGCCCTTAGAAGTAAGCCACAGAAGCCTGGGTTAGTTCAGCAAACTTCAGAAAAGGAGCCCCTTTATTGTTCTCTTTAAGATTTTCAGTGGGATAGTGCGTTAAAGTCTTTTGAGGCAGGGAGTTGATGAAGGGTTCAAAAATATGCCATCATACCCCCCTACCCACTGCCATTTAGAGGTTACTTTTGGACAACAACCTCATGTTTTTAAATTTAAATATAGTACATGACATCTCTCATTTTTATTAATCTTGCATTTAGGGAAACAAGGCTCACACAAGTAAATTGTCTTCATAACTGAAGCTTACTGTTTTAACTTTTTTTTTTTTTTTTTAGCTTTTCAATGGATCAGTAGCAAAAAAATACAGTACTGTTGATCTAACTTTTTACTGGCGCATCAGGGGAGCAAATGGCCCCAGGTTATACAGGGGGTTCTGTCGCTAGCTCTCTGTGTGTCTCCATAAGGCAGCCTTTCTCACTTCCGAAACTCCTAACTAGATAGAAAGGAAACACAGCATTCTGTGCATAAACAGGATTACAAAGAGAGGGTGGATGCTGAGACTGTGCTGCTTAGAGGTTGTCCCTAATAGCTGAGATTTGGAAGGAGTTTGGAGGGGAAAGAAGGGGGTTTTAACATGGGGACGGGGTACTCTTAGGGAGAAAGGGAGCCCATGGGAGTGGGGGCAGCTTGTAAGACACTAGGCAGCCAGAGGGCAGTTGGGAGATACCTGGAAGTGGAGGGTGGCAGGAGGTAGGAGAGGGGGCAGAAGTGAGGGTGGGAGGACCCAGAGAACAGTCTTGCCCTCTTTGCCGTTTTGCTCAGGGCAAAATCTTCCCTCTTGCTTAGCCTATAGAAACAGGGTTTATTAGTGGCTTTTTGGGTCAGAAGATAATATTTTTGGCTCCAGATGATGGGAAAGCCTTTGAAAAGCAAAAGAATGTTTCCTGTTCTAGTAAGCCGATTTTTTGCAACTTGCTTATGACTTCAGTATTTCAATACTTAGCAGATTATTTGAAAGCTCTTTTGGGGTTAATCAGGGAGGAAAAGAGGGAACACATACAAATGCTTCCCACCCCACCCCCTTCCTTTTCATAGTAGGAGCAAGAGTCAATTTGTAAAATCAAAAACCAAGTCCCTAGAATCGTAAGCCAAATGAAAAGGTTTTCTCATTGGCAACTCATTAAACTCAGACCTAAGAAAACAAACATTTGTTTGAGCCTGATGGAGGCGTGGGCCACACTTAATCCAAGCATTTTCTTGTAGGCTGGATTCTAAAATAGAAGATAGTAGGTCCTAGTACCATTTCCATCTAGTCCAGGTTAGCTGGTAAGTTTCATCTCTCATGCCAAGTCTGATCAATTGCTTGGTGGCCATGGTGAAAAGGATTCTGGGGGCTGCTGCTTTGCTCTGGAGGAAAGAAATTGATCAATGATGTCTGTTTGCTGTGAGCTGGGATTAGAGAATGACAGTGCCGGTCCTTGGACTGGCCAATGATTCTCCACAAGGCTGCACATAGAACCATCTGGGGAACTTTCAAAGGCCTAGACCACACCCAGAGATTCTGATTCAGTTGTTCTCTGAAGCCTTGGATCAGTATTTTCTTTTTATTTATGTTTTTGAGACAGGGTCTTGCTCTATTGCCTAGGCTGGAGTGCAGTGGCACAATCGTAGCTCACTGCAGTCTCGACCTGGACTCAAGTGATCCTCCCGTCCTCTGCCTCCTCAGTAGCTGGGACTACAGGTGTGCTCCACCACACCTGGCTAATTTTTAAATAATTTTTTTGTAGAGACACGGTTTCACTATGTTGCCCAGGCTGGTCTTGAACTCCTGGGCTCAGGTGATTCTCTCACCTTGGCCTCCCAAAGTGATGGGATTACAGGCATGAGCCAGTGTGCCCGGCTTGGATCAGTATTTTTTTAAAGTGTCCAGGTGATTGTAATATGCAGCCACTACTCAAGTCTTTAGATAATTTCCCTCAAACACAAACCAATTTTAGGAGGACAGGATATGTTCAGTTCTTAGATGTGTTAAGTTTGAAATAATAGCAAAATGTTCCGTGTGGGAAAGGAAAGGCGAGCAAGAAGTTGGGAATAGAGACCTGACAATTATTTTATTAACAGAGCATTATGATGCCTGTAAACCCAGCACGTGGGAGGCTGAGGTGGGCGGATCACTTGAGGTCAGGAGTTCAAGACCAGCCTGGCCAACATGGTGAAACCCTGTCTCTACTAAAAATGCAAAAACTAGCCAGGCGTGGTAGTGTGTACTTATAATCCCAGTTGCTAGAGAGGCTGAGGCAGGAGAATCCCTTGAACCCGGGAGATGGAGGTTGCAGTGAGCTGAGATTGTGCCACTGCACTCCAGCCTGGGCGACAGAGCGAGACTCCATCTCAAAAAAAAAAAAAAGGAAACCAAACAAATACAGCATTATTACTTGAAACCCAAGAATGAGTTGCTGAGTTTTGCAAGGGAAATGAAGATCCAGGAAAGACGTGAACTTGGAGCATACCCAACCTGTTGAAGTAGTTTCCGTGCAATGTAGATAGACTGAGAAGGTGCGGGTGCTGTCCTAGAACCCAAGAGCAGGAGCGCCGCAGGGCCTCCGGAAGTGGTGGGAACTGGGACTTACTGCTCCTCACTGGCATGCCCTCTGCCTCCCTTCCTGTCTCCCTCCTGTCTTTTGCTTTTCTAACTAGGACCCTGCTTCTCTGCTTGCTGGCCCTGTGGTGAGATGCAGCACAGCCACTAAACACAACCATGCCTTCCTGCTGGTCTCAGTTCCAGCATCCCCAGGGAAGGAACTGTGGCTGACCCAGCTTGGGACAGCTGTGGCCAGTGGAGGGGAGGGGAGGGTTCTGTGGAGTGACCTCTGAGTGAGGATGGGAAGGTCCATTCCCACAGGGGGACTGCTAGGCAGACAAAGCTGGGGTCTCCCTTTCTCTCCCTCTCTCAAGTGACAGGCAGAGCAGTGGGCAGGAGACCAGGAGAGTGTGGCCTCCCTGAAGTCCACCGAGTGGTTCATGGAGAGCACATGTGACACCAGTTCCCTGGAGAGGATTGGGGAAAGCCAGCCTAGTCTGACACCACCACTGTGTTCCAGCTGCCGTCCTTCAGAGTTGGGTTTCAGTAGAAGAAAGTTCTCAATAGGGAGTTCCTGGCTTTCTAGGGAAGTCCTGGGATAGGTTTGAGGGGTCTGTGATCCCCCTCAAATTGTGTACAAGAATGTGAGGTTTTATATGCCTAGGCACATTTTCTGGGGGAGATGGTCCATAGCCTCTCTACATGGAGTGCAGTGGGAAGTGGGGGACAGGTTTCTTCTCAAGGTGGGGAGCCTGTCTTCCTCCTCCCCATAACCCTCCTCCAAGCCTCTTCCGGATCGATTTCTACACAGAGTGTTGATTCAGCCAGATAAGGTGCACGAAGGTAACTAAGCAAGTGGGTGTAGACTTTGAGTTCAGCAACTTGTGTGGCAGATAGTCAGTCATACACGGTAGTGAATCAGAAACTCTCCTAGTTTCAGTGTTGACTATTCTCATCTGTTCATATGCTTATAGTGCATCTCGTCAGCTCACAGCCAGCTGCCTGCTTCTAGAAGGCAGGTCCTTTCACTTCTACTCTGCCATGTTTGTTGATTGCCACCGTCTCATATTAGTGGGGACTCTTCCTGTTGCAAGTTCAGAAACAGCTCCAGCAGCTTCCCCGAATGGAAACAGTATTGGCTCTTGGAACTGGGAATTTCAAAGGACAGCTGGATTTAGGGGTTCAAGGGGTCTCCAGGGCTTCATGTGTCTCTCTCTCTCCTGGCTTTCCTGGGAGTGCTGGCTTCCTTCCTAGGCCCTTGTTCTGTGTTGGGAAAGATGGCTGCAGCAGCCACAGTCAGTGCCCTTATCAGTCGGGATTGACAGGTGAGAGAAGCCATTTCTCTGCCTCTCCTCACCTTCTGAGTCTCATGGAAGGCCTCTCCTTGGCCACATACACCTTGTCTCACAGGTGGGAAGCAGGAATGAGTGCTGTCTCTGGCCAGGCCACATTTAGCTGCCTACTCTTGTGACCCCAGTGACTGAGAGTCCCCCAGACCCCCATGGGATAGGGAAAGGGCAGGGTCCCCATGGAAAAGAGGTGCTGGGAAGACAGACAGCCGGTGGCCAGCATTGCGATCTAGTGGAGGACTCGCCACGGGCGATGGTGAGAGTGGTGGCTTTCAATATGATGCCCGTGGAGACTTCACAACCAACCAGAAAGCCCTGCAGTGTTTAGACCCCTGATGATGTTTTGGCTCATCAGTATGGTGAGCCACCTGCACCTACTGCACCACAGGTGGCTCATTCCTGTGGTGCAGTAGGACAGTGGCCTAGAAGGTCAGGACTCTTCTGGAAAATTTTGCACAAGGGTCTTGATTTTAAACGAGGCCGCTAGTTGCCAGTGAGGCCTGCCGTAAATAAATAATGAGCCCCAGGCAAGCATCCACCCATTCTCAACACCTCAGGACACAGACTCACAGAAGCAACTGTGCATTTCTGCTCTGTGTGGTTTTAAAGCTTGGGAGGAGGTTGCAGTTGAATTGAGAGGCAGGCTGTTTTTTACTTAATGACCCGTTCTGGAGAGATTGCCGTGTGATGAGGGTATAAACATGCTTCCACCAGCCTGTGGTCTGGAGATGTGTACCGACCGGTTCTTGGGAGAGACGGCTGGACACACAAGGAGCCACAGAGCAGCCAGTGGGGAGGGCCAGCATAGTCGTGCTGAATTGTGTCTGGAATGAGCTCCCAAGGCTGTTCTTTCTAATCACAGTTCTCCCCGCCTGCCAAGCGCATCCTGGACTCCGTGTCTCCGTTTGCCTTGTTGAGTCCACATGGATGGCCTTCCTTGCTCTCTGTTTCAGCCAGTCCTATCTTTCCTCAAGGCCACTGCTAGTTTCATCTCTGCGAGGCCTTCTCAGCTCCCACCCTGTCTCAGGCCCTCATGGCCCGCTGGGATGGGCAGCACCTTCAGCGTTAAGCAGACTGGTCTGAGTGCTGACCTGCTTTTAGTCTGCCTCCGTCATCAGAAGAGGATATTCCTGCCTAACTCCATTGTTCTTAGAGGGTCATGCAAGATAAGGTGCACGAAGATGCCTGAGTATAGCACCTGGGCCATTTTCAAGGAAAGAGTGGCCTGCGTAGAATGACATTTTGTCCTGATTTACAGGACTAAATCCACATTGAACTGTAGAGTGGAAATCATAAAATTCAATGCACTTTTCATGCTGGAAGGGATATGATGTATTGTGGCACACATTTGATTATTTGGATCTGATGAATAGCAGCAATTTTCTGGCCTGGTAAGCGCTGCAGAGCTGCTTCATTATTGATGGGGCCTGTGTCCACAGAGGACGCCACTGTGAACCCAGGAGCCACCTGGCCTCGGGAGTTTTCTTTTATATGTGACAGTGTGATTGCTGAGGAAACTTGAGGCTCGCTTGAGAGGAGGCGCAGTGCTCCCAGATTTAAAGGCAGGGCTGTCGGCTTTGTAGTCTGCCGTCTGTGTGGCTGGTACGGGCAGCGTACATTTGAGGAGAAATGAAAAGGCAGCCCTTAATTGAGAGTCATTCTTGTCAGTGAAGAACTTGGAGCTACAGGCCCTGTGTGGCTGGGACCCCAGGGCCCAGGTCATGTGGGTCACGGCCGCCTTTGCTTCCCTGCAGCTTGCATGGGGCCGTCACCTGGCCTCAGGGAGCCTGAGTGGCCTTGCCAGTGGAGTGTGGCTCGTGGTGGCTGGCTCACCAGGGCGATGGAGAGGCTCGGTGAGCATCCACATGGCACACAGCCACTAAGTGTGCGTTCTCATCTTCATTCCCCGTGGCACAGTGCCCACATGTACTGGGTGCAGGTAGAGATACAGAGGAGGAAAGGGAGCAGAGTACTGGGAGACACTGGCTGGCCAGTATCTCAGGGTGACAAGAGTAGGCTGCACGACGGGGCCTGCCTGGAGACAGGGGCCAAGACCGAGCAAGAGGCCTGGAGCCCCTGCTGGGTGTCTTGGAATTTATCTCACACAAAGGGGAACCAGCAAAGTTTTTGAAGGAGGAAACAGACACGATTGGGATTGTTGTTGTCATTGTTTTTTTTATTTGTTTGTTTGTTTTTGTTTTGAGCGAAACTTTTTTTGAGTTTTGCTCTTGTTGCCCAGGCTGGAGTGCAATGGCATGATCTCGGCTCACGGCAGCCCCCACCTCCTGGGTTCAAGTGATTCTCCTGCCTCAGCCTCCTGAGTAGCTGGGATTACAGGCATGCACCACCACGCCTGGCTAATTTTGTATTTTTAATAGAGATGGCATTTCTCCATGTTGGTCAGGCTGGTCTTGAACTCCCGACCTCAGGTGATCCACCTGCCTTGGCTTCCCAAAGTGCTGGGATTACGGGCGTGAGCCACCGCGCCCGGCCTGTTGTCATTGTTTTAGGAAAATCGACTCTGAAAGGAACGTAAAGTAAACTCTGACGAGCATGGGGAGGTAGAGGCACGGGCAGGAGAGTCTGTGGGAGGCAGATGCAACCAGTGGGGCCGGCAGGGGACCTGGGTCTGATCTGGGCAGTGGAGTGTGTCCAGAGGGGACTGGCTGGGTCTAGAGCCCGTTGGAAAGCGGAATGGACAGACCTTGGGGACAGGTTGGATGCTGAGAACTCATAAATGACTTGGAGGTATCTAGCTTGGGTAACTGGGTGCGTGACGGCTCTAAAAGCTGAGGTAGGGAAGAGAGGAGGAGGTCTGGGGTGAGGAGGAGACAGATCAAGCATTCAGATGACTCGATAACTGTAATATGTACACACACCCACAGAAGACTCCCTTCAGCTGTAAAAAATCAAGCGTGATCTGGAGCACAAACCCACTTTTCTGATTGCTGTAGGGACTTTAGTCACAAACAAGGGGTTGTAGGTGACCCATTGACAGATAGGTTCTCAGAGGAGCTGTACTTACCATTCCAGAGGCACCTTGTGGTTCTGGGGGCTGCTAAGTAGAGAGTAGATTTCATAGTTAACTCAGATTCAACTTATTCCTACCCCTGAGGGCCCCAGGAAACCTGGGAGAGGCTGGACCGTGTACCCATGAAGAGGTTAGTTTCAAATCTTGGGTCTGCTACTCACCAGCTAAGGCCTTAGGCAAGTCATATGACCTGAGTGTCTGTTCCTTTGTTTATAAATTGGGCCTCATTATGGCACTTTGTGAGGCCGTCATGTCCAGACACATAACACAGGGTCTGGCATATTATAAACAATAAATAATTAGCAGCTGTTGTGGCTCTTGTTTTTTAGAGAGGGAATCTCTCTCTGTTGCCCAGGCTGGAGTGTAGTAGCTATTTACAGACACAGTCATAGCGCACTACAGCCTCAAATTCTTGGGCTTTAGTGATCCTCCTGTCTCAACCTCTCGAGTAGCTGGGAGGACAAGCATGTGCCACCACGCCCAGCTGTTGTTATTATTGGCAGCTATGCTTAAGGCATAATTTAGGCCAGGGTATGTATATTCGGTTTTAAGTCTGTTCATATCCTCTGTGATCATGGAAAAGTGAGGCCTGGTTTTAAGTGCTGTATTTTCATGGGAATAAACAAGAATGAAGTTCTCATGGTTACTGGGAGACCTTGGCTGTTCTTTCATTTCATTCATTCATTCACTCATTCATTGATTCAGCAACAGTTGAAGCTATCCCAAAGTGCTCATGGGCTAATAGGGGAGACTAACATGAAAACATGTAACTGGCTGGGCGCGGTGGCTCACGCCTGTAATCCCAGCACTTTGGGAGGCCGAATCGGGCAGATCACGAGGTCAGGAGATCGAGACCATCTTGGCTAACATGGTGAAACCCCGTCTCTACTAAAAACATAAAAATTAGCCAGTAGCGGGTGCCTGTAGCCCCAGCTACTCGGGAGGCTGAGGCAGGAGAATGGCATGAACCCAGGAGGCGGAACTTGCAATGAGCCGAGATCGAGCCACTGCACTCCAGCCTGGGCGACAGAGCGAGACTCCGTCTCAAAAAAAAACAAAGAAAACATGTAACTATGGGAAAATAATAGTGGCATTATGGGCTGGGCGCAGTGGCTCACGCCTGTAATCCCAGCACTGTGGGAGGCTGAGGCGGGTGGATCACTGGAGGTTAGGAGTTTGAGACCAGCTTGGCCAACATGATAAAACCCCATCTCTACTAAAAATATAAAAAATTAGCTGTGCGTGGTGGCGGGTGCCTGTAATTCTAGCTACTCAGGAGGCTGAGGCAGGAGAATCACTTGAACCTGGAAGGCGGAGGTTGCAATGAGCTAATATCGAGCCACTGCACTCCAGCCTGGGCAAAAGAGTGAGACCTTGTCTTAAAAAGAATGGTGGCATTATAAGGTTCCTGGGTGCCTAGGGGCCCGAGGAGGGAGGAGGGGCTGCCCCCAGCTGGAAGGAGGAGCAGGGAAGGAAGGCTAGACAGTGAGTAGGAGTGTATTCATGGACAGGGCCAAACCATGGGAGCAGTTTGCCGGGTGGCCAAGGAAACAGGTATTCCTGTTGATGAAGGTGACCAGCGGAAGCTCTGGGGCCTGACTCAGTGTGAGGGATGAAGAGGAGCCCATGTGAGGCTGGAGAGGTGGCCTTTCTTAGATGCCATTCCAGAGACAGCCACTGGAAGCTTTAAGGTGGAAGGTGCAGTGGTCAGACCTGCACTTTAGAATAGTTCCTTTCGTGGGTGCATGAGGAATGGACAGAGACAGCAGGCACTTTGCTTAGCTGTGGGCGGAACTGAAGGGGGAATTGGATGCTGGAGAGAGTAGCAGAATCAAGAGGTAGAGGGGGTCATGTCAGCAGGACATGGTGACCCACTGGACAGTGGGGAGCAGAGAGAGGGTGAGGTTACCGGGTCTCTGGTTGCTCCACCAGTGGGAGGAGGGCCGGGCCTTCTGGGTCTGGGACAGTTAAGTTGGAGGTGCCTTGGAGATGCCAGTCCTGATTGTCTGGCAGACAGCTGGATCAAGGGAGAGGTCTGGGAGGTGCCAGAATGGTTGAGGCTCTAGAGACAGGGCCTGTGGAGTGAGGGAGGCACTGGGGCGGCAACTGGGTCTCACTGTCCCTGTGGTCTCTGAACTGAGCCCCACTGAAACTGGAGGAGCCCCCAGCCTTGAGCTCAGAAGGCAGACTCCTTCCTAGAGATCCAGGCAGGCCTTGCAAATTTTGTTTTGTTTTGTTTTGGCCAAGTTACATAAACAGAGTAGGGGGACCTTCAGATCATTTTGATTTTTGGTGGGAGGAGGCTCAGCAGGCCGAAGGAATCCAGCACTGCAGTGAGAGGCCTGGCTGGGGAGGGGAAGCCCTCCAGTTATCTTGGGACAATCACTCCTTGGGGGCCTGGGACCTGGCTGGCTCTTCATATCTGGTTATCTCGCCTGGCTGATGGGAGACGATGTTGGCCGATAGGAGGGAGCTGACAGGCCTCTGGATCAGATCCGAGGCAGGGACTGCCCTTCCCTGCATGGGCCCTCCTCTTCTGTAGGGTGGGCTGAGGCTTGGGCCACGGGCCAATGGGGCAAGCAGGGAAGGTCAGGGAGTAAAGTGAGCTGGAAGCCGGGGTTGGGAAATGAAACACAGAGGGGTATTTTTCTCATCTGGAAGTGTCCCCCCTCCCAGGAGTCTTAGTCTGCTTCTTATTTTCCCATTTCTCAATAAAGAACATGGGCACTGAGAAACATTTCCCAATCATAGTGCTGGGGGCGGCAGGGTGTGGGGGCCACGGTCGGCACCTGAAAAGGGGCAGCGCCTCCTCAGCCCCTCACTGCCATGAGGGAATGCAGGGCCATTGTCACCGGATGGTTAGTTTCAAGAGAATCTAGGAATCCAGATTTCATGGGAAATCTCCCAATTGGCTTAAATTTTTAAATAAACACTGCCGGCCAGATGAAGTCTGTGGCCTGGACGAGGCCTGTGGGCTGTGGTTGGCGTTCTCTGGGCTAGCCCGGCCTCTCTGACGTCCGTCCTTTCTGGCCACGGCACACTGCAAGTTATCACCCAGAGGAGGAGAGGACACTAGATAGGAGCACACTGAGCCTATTCCAGATACTTCTCTGACATGAGCCTGAGTGGCTGGGCCAAGCTGTGTCCCTTCCCTGGAGTCTCCCTTCCTTATCAGCACAATGAACGCCAGGGCTAGATCTGTGGGTTTCAACCTTTCGTTCCTTAGCAGCAGAACTTTGTTTCATTTCAATCTTACAAGGGACAAATCACAGTGTATGAAATAGATTGAAAATCAGAGCTGCTCCTGTCGCCCAGGGAGTCTGGAATTCTGCCCCGAGGCTGCCTCTGCCCTCCCCCACAGAGGCACCTCTGACAGGCTCCGCAGAACACAGTGTGGGACTGCCCACCTGCCGGCTGGCCCTCTGCACCCCTCCCAGTCCTGGCATTCTGTGGGTTGAATGGGAGGACAAGAATGGCAGCCAGAGGAGGGCAAGCCACAGTGGGTCTGCCCCATAGCCAGCTCCTCGCCCACATTTTGTCCAGTCCCTGGCACGAGGTGATCGGCCAGTCACTGGGTGCAGCTGGCACTTCCTGGGTGCTTTCCACGTAGTTTTGCCTCCTCACATCAGCCCTGTAAGGCGGGTGTGGCTATTTCCATTTCACAGGTGAGTAAACCAAGACACAGAAAGGGGAAGTGAGTTTCACACAAGGTCAGTTGGCTGGAAAGGGAAGGATCCCAGGTTCTACCTGGGCGTCTGAGACCCCACAAGCTGCTCCCTCCCCGTGGGGCTTCCTTTATTCTTCACTGAGAGCCACGATGCTCCGGGGCAGTCCCACATCCGTGTGGGTGGTAGGTCCCGGGAATGACAGTTTCCATCTCTTGTGTTTCTGTGGCATGCTTCTTTGCTTTCAGATGTGATCTCCTTTTGCTGGCGTCAGGCTTGATCCATCTAAGCAGGACTCTCCTTTTTATCACCTCACAGGAGGCTGAACCGTCTGAGCCCAGAAGTGCTGAGGTGACGAGGAAGCCCAAGGCTGCTGTTCCTTCTGTGAACAAGAGGCCCAAGAAAGAGACTAAGAAGAAGCGGTAGAAGAGGAGGCCTGAGGAGCTGGGCGGGCAGGGAGAGGGTCTTGGGGACAGCCCTCCTGGGAATCTACATTGTGTTCCCCCGCATTCCAGGCTCAGGGTCTGAGGAGGCTGTGACGCCCTATGACCGCAGAGATCTAGACAGTCGTAACAGTCCCCAGGCTCCAGCTGGGCAATCCACCACTTCCTCTTCCTTCTGCTTCTGTGACGGTTTAGAGTCAAGGGGGCTGAAACACACTGTGAGCATAGACTGTATTAGGTTTGTTCAGAAGCCGGGTCAGCTCACAGAGTCACATTTTCTTGCTTAGTCATGTGTCCCTCCTTGAGTTGCCCCCTCCTTGTGGGTTTACACTACATTTGGGAGTCATTGTCTAATGCTGACAAGCACACCCTCTCCCATTATTTGTGCACTACAGATCTCCTCCTGATCAGTCACCTTTGTTGCTGCTGTGTAGACAGAGCCAGGCCTCACCTGTTTGTTTAGGCCAAGATGCCATGGACATGCAGCGTTAGTGATCCCACTAGCTGTGACAGCCAGGCCCAGAAAATGCCTGGCGTGAGAGCCAGCAGACAGCCAGGCCAGGGTAGGCAGTGCCTGCTTCTGCTCCATCAGGTGCAGGGGATTTGGCTGAAGGCGTGCATATTTCCTGGGCACAAACTTCCTGAGCCTCTGAAATGGGAGGCTCGTCAATTTCAGACCAACCTCTTTTCAACCCATCATAGCACGTTCAAGGTGTGCCTTTTACTTCTACCTGTACATCCCCCATCCCTTCAATTCTTTCATTCCCTGACCAGTGAGAGGGTTCCTGGGGGAAGTATGGTGAATAAACTGACATGCATGCTTCAGAACCTGCCTGTGTTGTCTTTTGCTGAGGGAGAGGGGAAGCCTAGGGCCCTGCCCCGGGGATGAGGGAAAGGCTTGACCCCCAGAGAAGTGGGACAGTGGGGGTGAGGATGGCCAGAATAGGATGGCTTCGGTAAGAGCAGTTCTGCAGGCTGAGCCATTCTGGAAGAAGTTTTCAGGAAGGATCCGGCTAAGTGCTTCGTGTGGCCCTTAGTCACTGGAAACACTTGTGAATGGCCGTGGGTGTGTTAGAGTTTCCACTGGGTCCAGGCCCCACTCATTCCCCAGGTTCCTTCTGAGGAAGATGCTGCTTGTCTTCAAAGTGGCTTGAGAAAAACCAAGTGCAATACAGTAAAAGGCCTTACGTGGCATTGGCCAGGTCTAGTCACTTGCCCTGAATCAGCTGCTGAGGAAAAGCCCTGACCTCTTGGTAACTCGGATTTGCCCAGCTCATTTACAGCCTGCCAGACAGCTTTCCCAAATGCCAGGACTGATGAGGATCTTAAGAGATGAGCGACTATCATCTCTGTTTTGGAGATGGGAAACTGAAGTCCAGACTACTTTGAGAATGTCCAAGCTGGGATTTAGACCCAGCCCACGGCACATTCCTTGGTATTTAACAGGTATTTAGCGAGTGTTGGTAGGCACAGTGCTATGAGGGTCCTGCTCTGCTGCAGAGGGGCTTGGCAAGATCTCCCAGCACTTCAGGTTTCAGGAGAGGAAGTCCAGGGGCTGGGGATTGTGCATAATGAAGGGCTAGATACTGGCTTGAGAAGGAGCTTCTGCGGATTGTTTCTGTTTCATAACACTTACCGAGAGCTTCAATGCCAGGCACCATGCTAGGAACTGAGGATGCAGAAATAAGGAACCTTCCCGGAAACCCAGAGTGCACCTGGCTGAGTGGGAGACGCAGACATGTAAGCAGGTTTGATGTGGGGAGTTTCTCCAACAGAGGAGCAGCAGGTGTTCCCAGGGGCACCCAGCTCAATCTCGAGGGGTCGGTGCAGCCACCTGGCAGAGTGGAAGTGATGGAGCTGAATCTTAAAGGCTCAGCAGGACTTGAGACCACAGGGAAATGAGGCTGGGAGAGCAGGGGCCAGGCCTATAGTGCAGACCTGTTTCAGCTTGTGGAGGAGAGACAGCTTCTGGCTCCCGGGAGCAGTGCTACCTCAATAGATCCAACTTCCTTAAATTCTTTCCCTTAAAGGCTGGGCCAGAGAATGGCCCTCAGAAAGCAAGGGCTGTCATCCTCTGCTCCACCAAACCCTTCTTCCACATGTACTGTGGGCAGAGTTTGCAGCATTTGGTTCTCTTGGTTTTCGGGACCCATCCTCTCCCGATTTCCCTCCTGCATTACTGGTTCCTCCTCTTGAGAGGGGCCCAGGCTTCAGTCCTTAGTCCTCTATCCTCTGTTACACAGAAGCTCCAGTCCCTAGACTTCCTCTCTGCACGTACTCCTTTGAAGATCTCATCTAGGCTCGTGGCTTTAAATACCACCCGTATTAGGATTTTCCAGAGAAACATAGAAGGAGACTTTAAAAGTTTGTATTTTTTGAGATGGAGTCTTGCTCTGTCACCCAGGTTGGAGTGCAGTGGCGCGATCTCAGCTCCCTGCAGCCTCCGCCTCCCGGGTTCAAGCGATTCTCCTGCCTCAGCCTCCCAAGTAGCTGGGATTACAGGCATGTGCCACCACGCACAGCTAGTTTTTGTATTTTTAGTAGAGATGGGGTTTCGCCATGTTGGCCAGGCTGGTCTCGAACTCCTGGCCACAAGTGATCCACCTGCCTTGGCCTCCCAAAGTGCTGGGATTACAGGCATGAACCACCGTACCCAGCGAGACTTCTTACAAGATATTGTCTCCAGTGATTATGGAGGCCGAGAAGTCCCACGATCTGCTGCCTGCAAGCTGGAAACCCAAGAAAGCCAGTAAGGGGCCGATGGTGTAGATTCTGTCTGAGTCTGAAGGCCTGAGAACCTGGAGTGCTGAGAGAAGACAAATGTCCCAGCTCATGCAGTCAGACAGCGGGAGGGCGAGTCCAACCTTCCTCTTTTTGTTCTGTTCAGGCCCTTAAATGGATGAGGCCCACCCGCTTTACTCAGTCCACAGATTCAAATGCTAATCTCTTCCGGAACACAGACACACCCAGAAATACTATTTAATCAGATACCTGCTCGTCCTGTGGCCTAGTCAAGTTGACATATAAAATTAACCATCACACCACTCACATGCTGATGTCTCCCAGACGGATCTCTCCAGCCCTACTCCTGAGCTCCAGACTCACATATCTGACTTCCTACTCATTATCTCCATTTGAATACACAACAGGCATCTCAAAGCACATTCCTGATCTCACCAGCAGCCCCAAGCCTGCTCTTTTCGTGGTCTTCCCTATCTTAAAGAGCATCTTAAGAAAAACAAAGTATCTATTTAAAATATACAACTTGCTGATTTGATATACGTATATGTTGTGAAATAATCACCACAATCAAGCTAATTAAAATATCCATCACCTCACATAGTTATATGTGTGTGTGTCGGGCGGTGGGGCGTGGGGGTGAGAACACTTAGGATCTTAGAAAATTTCAAGTATATACGGTTGACCCTTGAGCAACATGGGTTTGAACTGTGTGGTCCACTTATACGCAGCTTTTTTTCAGTAAATACAATTCCTTCATATCCACATCCACATCTACAACCAAGGGCATATCAAAAATAGTGTTTGTGGGATGCGAAATCCACATATATGGAGGACTAACTTCTCCTAGAGGTGGGTTTCACAGGGCCCACCTCGAGACTTGAATATGTGTGGATTTTGATGTCTGTGGGGGTCCTGAAACAAATCCCAGGCAGATACCCAGGGATGACTATAGTACAGTATCATTGTCTATAGTCACCGTGCTATACATTAGATCTCCAGCACGCTTTCATCTTGCATAACTGAAACTTTGTGCCCCTTAACCAACAGCTCCCCGTCACCCACTACTCCCAGTCCTTAGCAACCT
Source organism: Homo sapiens (assembly GCF_000001405.40). NCBI lineage: Eukaryota > Metazoa > Chordata > Mammalia > Primates > Hominidae > Homo > Homo sapiens. The sequence continues at coordinate 229,761 of NW_025791812.1, forward strand.
CCATTCTACTCTCTGATTTTGCAGGTTTGACTATTTTAGATTCTACATATAAATGAGATCATGCAATATTTCTCGCTCTGTGTCTGGCTTATTTCACAGGTCCATTCATGTTGTTGCAAATGGCAGAATTTCTTTTTTTTTTTTTTCTTTTCTGTTTTTTTTTTTTTGAGATGGAGTCTCGCTCTGTCACCCAGGCTGGAGTGCAGTGGTACGATCTCGGCTCACTGCAACCTCCACCTCCTGGGTTCAAGTGATTCTCCTGCCTCAGCCTCCTGAGTATCTGGGACTACAGGCACTCGTCATCATGCCCGGCTAATTTTTGTATTTTTAGTAGAGACAGGGTTTCACCATGTTGGCCAGACTGGTCTCAAACTCCTGACATCGTGACCTGCCCGCCCCGGCCTCTGGGGTTATAGGCGTGAGCCACTGTGCCTAGCCTGGATTTCCGTTTTGTGGTTTTTTTTTTGTTTTTTTTGAGGCAGAGTCTTGCTCTGTCGCCCAGGCTGGAGTGCAGTGGCCCGATCTCGGCTCACTGCAAGCTCCGCTTCCCAGGTTCATGCCATTCTTTTACCTCAGCCTCCCGATTAGCTGCGACTACAGGCTCCCACCACCACGCCTGGCTAATTTTTTGTATTTTTAGTAGAGATGGGGTTTCACTGTGTTAGCCAAGATGGTCTCGATCTCCTGACCTCGTGATCCGCCCACCTCGGCCTCCCAAAGTGCTGGGATTACAGGCATGAGCCACCACGCCCGGCCTCCTTTTTTTTTTTTTGTTAAGGCTTAATAATATTCCATTGTATGTACACCACATTTCCTTTATCCATTCATCAGTTGATGAACATATAGGTTGTTTCTGTATCTTATCTATTATGAATAATGCTGCAATAAACATAGGAATGTAGCATTTCTTTGAGATACTGATTTAATTTCCTTTGGATAAATACCCAGAAGTGGGATTGTTGGATCATTTGGTAGTTCTTTTTTTATTATTATTTTTTGAGGAGCCTCCACACCATTTTCTATAATGGCTGTACCAATTTACATTCCCACCAGTAGAGTACCAGGTTCCAATTTCTAAACATCTTTGCCAACAGTTACCTTTTGTTTTTAAAATAATAGCCCCTCTAATAGGTGTGAGGTGATATCTCCCGGTTTTGATTTGCATATTTAGTGATGTTGATAACCCTTCCATAGACCTGCTGACCATTAGTATGTTTTCTTTGGAAAACTGTCTATTTAGGTCCTTTGACCATTTAAAAAATTGGGTTCGTTGGGTTGTTTTTTTGCTATGGAGTTGTATGAGTTTCTTATATATTTTGGATATTAATACCCTATCATATATATGATTTGCAAACATTTTCTTCCATTCTGTAGATGGCCTTTTCATTTTGTTGATTGTTTCCTTTGCTGTGCAGAAACTTTTTAGTTTGATGCAGTCCTATTTTTTTTATTTTTGTGTTTGTTGCCTGTGCTTTAGTTGCCATATCCAAAAAATTGTTGCCAAGGCCAATGTCAAAATGCTTTTTCCCGGCTGGGTGTGGTGGCTCACACTTATAATCCCAGCATTTTGAGAGGCCTAGCTGGGAAGACATTTGAGGCCCAGAGTTTGAGACGAGCCTGGGCAACATAGTGAGAACATAGTGAGACACCATCTCTGCAAAAAAAAAAAAAAAAAAAAAAAAAAAATTAAATTACATATATATGATTTTAAAAAGCTTTTTCCCTGTTTTCTTCTAGGAGTTTTAAAATTTCAGATTTTATATTTAAGTGTTTAATCTATTTTGAGATGATTTTTGTATATAGTATAAGGGTTCAATTTCATTATTTTGTAAGTGGCTATCTAGTTTTCCAAGCACCATTTATTTTTTATTTTTTTTTGAGACAGAATCTCTCTATTGCCCAGGCTGGAGTGCAATGGCACAATTATGGCTCATTGTAGCCAAAGACTCAAGTGATCTTCCTGCCTCAGCCTCCCAAGTAGCTGGGACTGCAGGTGCACACCACCACACCCAGCTATTTTTTTATTTTTTGTAGAGACAGAGTCCCAGTATGTTGCCTAGGCTGGTCTTGAACTCCTGGGCTTAAGTGATCCTCCTGCCTCACCTTCCCAAAGGTCTAAGATTACAGGCTTGAGCCACTTTGCCCAGCCCAACACCATTTATTGAAGAGGTTATCTTTCCCCTTTTGTGTATTCTTAGTGCCCTTGTCAAAGATTAGTTGACCATATATGCTTGGGTCTATTTCCAGGCTCTTTGTTCTTTTCAATTGAACTATTGTTTTTATGTCAGTACCATATTGTTTTGATTACTAGAGCTTTGTAATATAATTTGAAATCAGGAAGTGTGATGCCTCCAGCTTTGTTCTTTCTCAAGATTGCTCTGGTTATGTGAGGTCTCTTGTGGGTCATATGAATTTTGGGATTTTCTTTTTTATTTCTGTGAAAAATACCATTGGAATTTTGATAGGGATTACATTTCATCTGTAGGTTGCTTTGGGTAATATGGACATTTTAGAAATATTAATTCTTCCAATCCATGAACACATTGGAATATCTTTCACTTCTCTGTGTCTTAAACAACATCTTAATTCTTCCAGTTGCTTGGGCCAAAAACCTTGAAGTTATTCTTAACTTCCCTCTCTCTGTCATACTCCACTTCTGACCCTGAAGTATCTCCTTGACACTCAACCTTAAAAATCCAGAATGATACTATCTCACCACTTCACTATCCTCATCTCACCTGGATATTGCAGCAGCCTCCTCACTGGTAGTCTGTTCTCAAAACAGCAGTCAGAGGGATCCTCTTAAAACTTGTGAGATCACCTCCATCACCTGTCCCCATCTCACTCAGGTAAAGGCCAAAGTCCTCACTGGGACCCACAGAGCCTGCAAGAACCACTTCACCTCCTTCGCCTCTCTGACTCCATTTCCCTCCACTCCTTCCTTGCCCACTTCACTATCTAAAGGACTAAATCACTAATGGCAAAATTGTGCTCATCAATGAGGAAGAGACTCTAGAGAAGAGTTTTGTTTTTATTTTTTAACTTATTGGAGTAAAATTCACATGACATAAAACTGACCATTTTAAAGTATACAATTCAGTAGCATTTTAGTGCTTTCACAGTGTTGTATAGCCACCACCTCTATCTTGTTCCAAATTTATATATTTTTTAGAGGCAGGGTCTTGCTTTTTTACCCAGGCTGGAGTGCAGTTACACCATCATAGCTCACTGCAGCCTCGACGTCCTGGGCCCAAGCAATCCTCCTGCCTCCGCTTTCTGAGTAGCTGGGGCTACAGGTGCATACCACCACCCTCAACTAATTTTTAAATTTTTTGTAGAGACAGGATCTCACTATGTTGCCCAAGCTGATCTCGAACTACTGGCCTAAAGTCATCCTCCCACCTTGGCCTCCCAAAGCCTTGGGATTATAGGCGTGAGCCACCATGCCCCGCCAGTACAGCCACTTTAGAAAACTGGGGTTTCTGGGAGCTAAATGATGAGAACTTATGAACGGAAAGAAGGAAACAACAGACATTGGGGTCTACTTGAAGGGGGAGGGTGGGAGGGGGAGAGGAGCAAAAAAGATCACTATTGGGTACTGGGCTTAATAACTGGGTGATGGAATGATATGTACAACAAACTCCCGTGATATGTGTTTACATATGTAACATACCTTCACATGCACCCCTAAACCTAAAATAAAAGTAAAAAAATTAAAGAAAACTGGAGTCTCTTTTAAAAATTTAACATACATCTAACCTATGAGCCAGCATTCCACTCCTAGATATTACCCAAGAGAGACGAAAATATTTGTCCACAAAAATCTTGTACTAAATTCAAGCTAGATTGTTCATAGCTGCTTTATTCATAGCAGTCAAAAACTAAAAATAGCCCTGATGCTCATCAACAATAGAATGAGTAAAATGCAGCATATTTATACAATGAAATACTACACACCATCAAGAAATGATCTACTGTCAGGCATGGTGGCTCAAGCTTGTAATCCCAGCTACTCAGGAAGCTGAAGTGGGAAGATCCCTTGAGTCCTGGAGTTCAAGGCTGCAGTGAGCTATGACTGCACCACTGCACTCCAATCTGGGTGACAGAATGAGATCCCGTCTCTTAAAAAAAAAAAAAGAAAGAAAGAAATGATTACAGATACACACAATATGAATATGAATGATTTTTGACTTTAATTTTTCAACTTTATGATCCTGTGAAAGAGATACATGTTCAGTAGAAACCGTATTTTGAGTACCCGTACAACCATTCTGTTTTTCACTTCAGGACAGTATTCAATAAATTACCTAAGATATTCAACACATCATTATACAATAGACTTTGTGTTAGGTGATTTTGCCCAACTGTAAGCTAATGTAAGTGTTCTGAGCGCACTCAAGGCAGGCTAGGCTAAGCTAGGATGTTTGGTAGGTTAGGCGTATTAAATGCATTTTTTTTACTTTTTTTTTTTTTTTTTTTTTTAAAGATAACTTCTCACTCTATCATCCAGGCTGGAGTGCTGTGGTATGATCATAGCTCATTGTAGCCTCTAACTCCTGGGCCCAAGACATCCTTTCACCTCAGCTTCCCGAGTAGCTGGGACTAGAGGCATATACCACCATGTGTGGCTAATTTTTCAAAAATTTTTTTTTTTGTACAGGTGGGGTCTTACTATTTTGCCCAGGTTGGTCTTGAATTCCTGGCATTCAAAGTACTGGGATTATAGGTGTGAGCCATTGTGTCTGGCTTAAATGCATTAAAAATTTTTTTTGTCGGTATAGTAGGTGTATATGTTTATGGGGTACACGAGATATTTTAATACAAGCATACAATGTGTCATAATCACATTGAGGTAAGCATTTATCATTTCTTTGTGTTACAAACAATCCAGTTATATTCTTTTAGTTATTTTAAAATGTATAACAAATTATTGTTGACTGTAGTCACCTTGTTACGCTATCAAATACTAGATCTTATTCATTCTACCAAACTCCAGCCATTCTACCTAACCGTTGCCCCTTCCCCTGCCGAATGCATTTTTGACTTAATGATATTTTCTATTTAGGATGGATTTATCAGGATGTGACACCATTGCAAGTTGAGGAGCATCTGTGTACTGTCTGGTTCTATTCCAGTGAAATTCTAAAACAGACACAACTAACCCGTGGTGATAGAAAGCAGATCTGCGGCTGCTTCTGGGAAGTGGGTTGACTAGGAAAGGGCATGAGAAAACTATCTGGGATGATGAATTTTTTCTTTGCTTTTCTTTTTTGAGGTGGGGTCTTGCTCTGTCACCCAGGCTGGAGTGCAGTGGCGGGATCTCAGCTGACGGCAGCCTCCCCCTCCCAGGCTCAAGTGATCCTCACACCTCAGCCTCCTGAGTAGCTGGGACCACAGGCATGTGCTACCACATCCAACTAGTGTTTTGTATTTTTTGTAGAGACAGAGTCTTGCCATGTTATCCAAGCTGGTCATTAACTCTTGGGCTCAAGCGATCCACCCCTTGACCTCCCAAAGTGCTGGGATCACAGGAGTGAGCCACCACCTGCACCACCTGCTGGAAATGTTTTATATCTTGATATGCAGTTATCCAAGTTGACTGAATGCTTCAGATCTGAGCATTTTGTTATGTGTAAGTTGTTTTTTCCTAAAATATTTTTCTAGGCTGAGGCGGGAGGATCACTTAAGCCCAGGAGACTAGCCTGGGCAACATAGTCAGGCCCTGTCTCTATTAAAAAAATAAAAATAAAAAACTTTAAAAAACTTTTCCTGTGGGTCAGGACGTAAGCTATGTGTTTGGGACACAGTATGTCATTTAACTTGTAAGCAAATTCATTAAGGTAGATATTATTGTCTCTGCCTTACAGATGAGAAAACTGAAGCTCAGAAGGGTTAAACAATTTGCCTCATTAAGAAAGGTGGGATTAAAACCCAGCACTATGGCCGGGCTCAGTGGCTCACGCCTGTAATCCCAGCACTTTGGGAGGCCGAGGTGGGCGGATCACGAGGTCAGGAGATCGAGACCATTCTGGCTAACACGGTGAAACCCCGTCTCTACGAAAAATACAAAAAATTAGCCGGGCGAGGTGGCGGGCGCCTGTGGTCCCAGCTACTTGGGAGGCTGAGGCAGGAGAATGGCGAGAGCCCTGGGGGGGACCCTGCAGTGAGCCGAGATCACGCCACTGCACTCCAGCCTGGGCAACAGCGAGACTCCGTCTCAAAAAACAAAAACAAAAACAAAACAAAAAAACCCGGCACTATGACCCGAAAGCCCATACCTTAAGGGTTACGTCTTCTCTCTCAACCCATTCTTTTCCCTAAGATTTTACAAAAGAGGAAACTGAGTCCCAGAGAGGGTTGGAGACATACTCAATGCCACTTAGCTCTTTGGAATCAGCATGGAACTAGAATCCAGGTTTCCAGAGCTTTCTTACTGCATCCCACTTGGGCAAAGAAGTCAAGCTCACTCCCACCTCCACCCAGCTGGAGGTTGGGAACTCAAAGTATAATTTCTAAAGACTTGAGTATAACATTCACGTTATGGGAGGCCCAAATTCAGGGCATAGATATCCTGTGACTTCAAAATGAGAGACTGTGCTTTCCATCTGTCTTTGTATTATTGGAGTCATTCCAGGCTGGTTTTCTGTGAATCACAGAGGCTTGCCATTCACCCTGCTGCAATTATCCCATTTTACACCCAGGACCCCCAACCAGACTCACCTATTCCCTCCCTCCGTGGCTTTTTGGGTGGCAAGATTTCCAATCCAACACATTCCACAAGCTTCCCTCTGCTTAATTTAAGAGGAGCTAGCATGAGTTTCTCATCTGCTCCTTGACTCTCAGAGTTCTGACATGGATTCATGTCAAGAACTACAAAAACAGCCAATCTAATTTGGTTTTAACCCACATCCAATCAATCAACAATAAGAGTGGCTGTTGTCAGGTTCAGCCCATCACATTGTTCAAAATCAGTGTCGTCTCTTGTGTTGTTAGAAGGTACCATCTTGTGTTTTGAGAGAATTAGGCTTAAATGGTGATGATAGATTCCTCCCAAAAAAGCTTGGTTCTCCGGGAGGAAAAAAAGTCGTATGTGTCCCAGCTTCTTTGGCCTTCTTCTGCTAAAGAGAAGTTTCATTAAAAAATGCTGGCCCGGTGTGGTAGCTAATGCCTGAAATCCCAGCACTTTGGGAGGCCAAGGTAGAAGGATTGTTTGAGCCCAGGAGTTGAGGATCGGCCTGGGCAACATGGCAAGACCCCCATCTCTAAAAAAAAAAAAAAAACACCCAAAATTAGCCAGGTACGGTGGTGCACACCTGTAGTCCCAGCTACTCGGGAGGCTGAGGTGGGAGGATCGCTTGAGCCCAGGGAGGTGGAGGCTGTAGTGAGCTGTGATGGTGTCACTGCCCTCCAGCCTGGGCAATAGAGAGAGACCCTGTCTCTGAAAAAAAAAAAAAAAAAAAAGTCTTTTTCTCCTCCTTAAAAGTCACAGAGTATGTTTCATGGGCTGCCTCTTCTCTGGAACTGGCAAGTGGTGCTGTGAATGAATCACCCTGTTTCTTGGGAATGTTTTGCTCCAAGAGCTCAAGGGGGTACAACAAGATGATAAACAGCCTCTTGAAAGGGCCTCTCCTCCCCCCGCTGCGGGGCTTGGAGCCTGTGAGTTCACGGAACTGGACAGTGGCCGAGCTTTCAGAGACTGCCGAGTCCAACTCAGTTTTGCAGACGAGGAAACCTGGGCTTTCACATTTATGGAAACGGAGCCAGGAGCAGGGCCGAGGCCATGTGAATACGACCCATCCCCACTGCTGGCGGGCCTGTGGGCCGAGGCCATCTTAGTACGACCCATCCCCACTGCTGGCAGGCCTGTGGTTCATCCCGCATCACTCTAAGCTTCAGCCTCCTTCTCTGGAAGATGAGGGCAGGATGCCTGATGTTCCCTGTGGTTTCCTATCATTCAGGGATCCTGAGTCTTTGCTCCTATGTAGTCACTTGGTAGAAACGCCGAACCTGAAATGTGGCACTTTGCTTCTCAAGCCAGAGAAGGATCCAGGCTTATGGCCCTTAGCAAAAGCCCAAGCGGTTCAGTTCAGCTCAGGTGGGTTCAACAAATACACTGACGCCCCGGCCCTGTTTAGCCCCTATGCTGGGCATCGGGGATGCCAGGTGAATCAGATCTGGCCCCAGCCTCCAATCAGTGGGGCTAGGCAGACACACAGACAGACTATGACCATAGGCTGTGGCAAGCCTGGGGATATTAGGCCTGAGGGGCTTTGGGAACACAGGCCAGGGCCTAACCAAGCCTAGGGGAGAGCCAAGGAGGGCCTCTGGGGCAGGTGGCCATGTTGGAGGGTTCGCATCTGGCGGCACTGATGAGAGGAGGTGACGGACAAATGGGATGAGACCTTGGGCAAGGCCCTTCCCCAGTCTGGGTCTGGGTCTTCCCAGAATGCACTTGCAGGGGATGGCGGAGGTCTCCCTACCTCTGGACTTCTTGGGTGGGGAAAGTGTTAATGTTCGTTGTGAGCTTGGAGGGCGCCCGTCCATGGCCAGGAGAGACTGTCCTATCCTGGCACCCAAGGCTGTGGCCTTTTTCACCTCCTACAGGTCCAGAGTCCTCTGGGAGCATAAGGGCGCTGCCTGGCAGCCCTCTCAGCTCTGACTGAGTCCCAATGTGTGTGGGAACACCTCGAGCTGGGAGAGGGGAGAGTAAGGCACCCTGCCCTCTCCTGACCCCTGCCTTGTCCTCAGTCCATTGGAGAATTGCTGCAGGCAAGAAACAGCCCTCAATAATACCAAGGACTGAGGTGCACAGCTGCTGATCAGTACCAAAAAGGAAACTCTTTGTTTTTTTTTTTGAAACAGTCCCCCTCTGTTGCCCAGGCTGGAGTGCTGTGGCATGATCCTGGCTCACTGCAACCTCCACCTCCCAGGTTCAAGCAATTCTTGTGCCTCAGCCTTCAAGTAGCCTGGGCTACAAACACATGCCACCATGCCCGGCTAATTTTTTTTATTTTTTACTTTTAGTAGAGATGGGGTTTCACCATGTTGCCCCGGCTGGTCTCGAACTCCTGACCTCAGGTGATCTGCCTGTCTCAGCCTCCCAAAGTGCTGGGATTACAGGCGTAAGCCACCGCGCCCAGACTCAAAAAGGAAATTCTTATTCTGAAGTGTCCGTCTCTGACAAATCCCTGGAGTCTCTGGCTCTAGATGGGCAGGAGAGTATCCTGGGACCCCAGTCCCTGTAAGCGGCGTCTGTCTCCCCCCTGCCCTCCCCAGCCAGGCTTAGCTGCCTCCACCTCTCCTCCCACTCTTTCCAGGACCTCTAGTGGTCTAGCTCCCGCCTCTACTCCCCTGAAACCTTACTCCCTGAGGTCAGCTGGAGCTGCTTTGTGATTGGTGGCTCAATGACCTGGACACTATTGGCCCTGACTTATCTCACGTGATCTCCCAGCAACATCTAATCCCAGAACAACATCCTTCCAGGAAGCCTATAACCCTCTTTGGAGGCCTCTTCCTGCAGCGTATTAGACATGAGGACTCCCCCTGGCTCTTCCTGGCTTTCTCATCCTTTACAAAACATCATATTCTGAGCCTCAGCTTCACCATCAGTGAAATGGGAATAATGATACAGGTTGAGCACCTCAAATTCAAAAATTTGCCATCCAAAATGCTTTAAAATATGAAACTTTTAGAGCATTGACATGACATTCAATGGACATGCTCACTGGAGCATTTCAGATTTCATTTTTTATTTTTTGGATTAGGGATATATATAATGCAAATATTTCAAAATCCAAAAAAATTCAAAATGGAAGCACCTCTGGTCCCAAGCATTTCGGATAAGGGAGACTCAACCTGTAGCACTTTTTCCAATGGGTTGCAATGAGTTAATGCATATAAGGCACTTGGCAACTGATGCAGTGTGTTCAAAAGTGTTGGTTAAATTATTCATTTTTTTCAACATCTCCATGGATATCTAACAGGTTTGCCCAAAATAATTTGGCCAAAACCAAACTCGTGACTTTTTGGCCTCAGTGGGCTCCTACCCAACCTTCCCCATCTCAGTAAATGCACCTCCACTCACCCACCCAAAGCCTGAGAATCCGTCTTGAGCTGCCCTCTCTGTGCCCACACCCCTCATCCATCAGCAGGGACTGTGGGTGCTTCCTCCTAATGCACTCAAGTCATCCACTCTCACCACCTCCCCTGCCAGGCTTGCAACATTTTCCCTCCCTCCTGGAGGACATCCCAGCCTCCTTGCTGGCCTCCCTGCCTCCACCCACGTCCCTTAATCCCGCTCTATGCAGCTGCTGGCAGGGCCTTGCAAAAACATACATTGGTGGCTCATGCCTGTAATCCCAGCATTTGGGAGGCCAAGGCGGGCGGATGCCTTGAGCTCAGGAGTTCGAGACCAGCCTGGACAACACAGGGAGACCCTGTCTCTACAAAAAATTAAAAAAAAAATACATTAACATCTTGTCACCAACACCTGTCTCCTCCTTTAACATCCACAGTGGTCTCCCAGAGCCTGGAAGTAAAGCTCAAGCCCCTTCCCCATACCCCAGGAGGCTCTAGTCCCTGTGAAGAGCTCTGGTTCCATCTCCCACTAATCTTCCTCCACCCATTCTCCATCCAGATCCAATATAACCAGTTCCCACCTTGAGGGCCTTTCCCTGAATGTTCTTTTCCTCAAATCATTTTCTTTTAATTTTTTATTTTATTTGAGATGGGATCTCGCTTTATCACCCAGGTTGGAGTGCAGTGGCACGATCATAGCTCACTGCAGCCTCAACCTCCTGGGCTCAAGCGGTCCTCCTGCCTCAGCCTCCCAAAGAGCTGGAATGACACCATGCCTAGCTCTCCCGAATCTTTGTATGGTCATTCTTTTTCATCCTTCGAGGTTTAGCTGCCCAACTCTAGTCCCAGCTGCTTGGGAGGCTGAGGCGGGAAGATCACTTGAGCCCAGGAGTTTGAGGTTGCAGTGAGCCAGGACTGTACCACTGCACTCCAGCCTGGGCAACAGAGCAAGACCCTCTAAAAAGCAATAAGAACAATAAAAACCAAGCTTTAGCTACTTTCCTCTGGGAAGCCTTTCTGACCTGCTGTCCTCAGAACTCCTCACATCCTTCTCACCCTGTCCCTCACTGACTCCTGTCCTAGCAGGTAGCACATTCTGCATTTCTGCATCACTTGGTTCAATTTTTTTACCGACCACCTCTCACACCAACCTGTGAAATCCACAAAGGCAGGGGCCGTGTGCATTTTATTAACCAACGAGCCCCCATCAGTCACTCAACAAATGCTTTACCCACTCCCAAGGCCTCAATCAGATCTCCAGACCTGGGCTCTGTGGCCTTGGGGAAGTTACTCACCCTCTCTGGGCCTGTCTGGCAGGTAGAGGGGCCTGGCTGGTGATGGATGCCTCCTCTTATCCCTGGCCCACGTTGTGGCAGGGAGGGGAGGCTGCCCAGGCTGGCCCTTCACGTGCTGGGTACTTCTGAGGGCAAGCTTCCACAGACAGAGCTCCCCGAGTGTTTGCTGAGTTGAACAGAAGGACCTGGAAACCTCGATGCCAACACCTCCAGGAATGAGAAGGCTGCAGGGGAGCCAGCTCAAAGCTCAGGGAGCTAATTGCACCATTAGATGATTAAAGATGTTTAATGACAGGGATGCAGCTGTGGTGGGAAGTTAAGCATGGACCACAAGCGGCCCGAGGCTTGGTTCAAATTTGGGGTGTGGGAAGGAGCCTCCCCCAGATCCAACCATCTGGATAGGAGAGGTCACAGCCACAGCCTGTGGCCCCAGGCGGCTGAGGCCTGAGCCAGCACTGGGGCTGGGCTCCTTCCGGGCTGCCTGGGGATCCCTGCCTCCGGAGTCCTCCCTGAGCTGGCGGGGCCCTGAGAGAAGGTGAGGCCAGACTCAGGGTGTGACGGGGGGCAGGGTGGCTGGCTCAGTTCCTGCTCTGGAAGCCAGAGCTAATGTGCTAGCCTCAGACAGGGGCTGAGATGGGCCTGGCATGGCGCCAGCCGATCTGGGGAATCCAGGCCTGAGATTCCTGTCCCAACAAGTGTTGGGGCCTGTTGAGCGTCAAGCGCTGGTCTGAGCAATGCCGGAACATGATGATGACCCAGCCCACCCTCTCCCTGCTGGAGAAACATCCACTGGGAGGAGTGCAGATGGGATCTACGAAGCTTTGACCTGGGCTTGGGGGTCAGGGGAGGGACCAAAGAATGGAACAGGAGTTAGCAGGGGATTAGAGACAGGAAGGACATCCCAGCAGAGGGCAAGCAGGAGCAGGGCCCACTGGGGAGACAGCGGCAGGGAAGAGGGGTGGTGGAGGTTCAGCCGTTCAGCCTTGCAGGCAGATGAGGTAGGACTGGAGAGGCTGGCGGGGCCCTGGTGGCCTCTTAAGTGTGAGCTTTGGCCTAAGGCCCCTGGAGAGCCACTGAAGGATCAGAGCTGTGATTTGGAAAGAAGAACACAAGGACTGTTTTTTAACATTATTTTATTTTTTTGAGTTGGAGTCTTGCTCTGTCACCCAGGCTGGAGTGCAGTGGCACGATCTCGGCTCACTGCAGCCTCCGCCTCCTGGGTTCAAGCGATTCTCCTGCCTCAGCCTCCTGAGTAGCTGGGATTACAGGTGCACACCACCACGCCTGGCTCATTTTCTTGTATTTTTGGTAGAGACGGGGTTTCGCCATGTTGGCCATGCTGGTCTCGAACTCCTGACCTCAAGTGATTGACCCACCTCAGCCTCCCACAGTGCTGGGATTACAGGCTTGACCACTGAGCTTGGCCACAAGGACTGTTATAGGATGAATTAGGGAGGGGCACAGCTGGGATCTGGATGAGCCAGGCCCCACCTGAGTACCAGGGAGGGGATGAAAGGAGGGGATAGTTGGAGTGGAGGAGGGAGGCCAGGGATGCCAGGTTTCTGGTGGAAGTTCTTTTTTGTTTTTTTTTTAGATAGGGTCTCCCTCTGTTGTCCAGGCTGGAGTGCAGTAGTCATGGCTCACTGCAGCCTCAACCTCGCTTGCTCAAACAACCCTCCCACCTCGGCCTCCCAGGGTGCTGGGATTACAGGTGTGAGCCACCTCACCCGTTCTCTGGCTGAAGTTCTTGAAAGGGTGGGATCCCAGAGGAGGGCCAGTTTCAGGGAACAGAAGATATGTTCTGCCTGGGATGAGTGGAGTCTCTGGGATACTGTGTCGGGGTAGGAGGACGTTCTATGGAAAGGTCTGGATGATGACTGGACAGATGGGTCCAGAGTTCTGGAGGGAGGCCAGGGCTGGGGAGGGAGATCTGGCATGCAGCTGGGTAGGTAGTCCCTTCTCGATCCTACAGCGGTGACCTCCAGAGCGCTCCATGTATTGGCTTTTCTCCTTCCCTGCCTTTCCCTTCCTGCTTCTTTGCTCCAGCTTCCTGGGGTCACTTCTCAAAAGAGTAGTCTCGGGCTCTGCTTCAGGAGAACCTGAACTAAGATAGAGTGAAGCTGAAGCCACCAGACAGTGGGCTGGCTCCTCTTGGGCTAACACTGGCTGTGTCCTCAGCCCAGGCCCAGTGCAAAGGAGCCTCCCTTCCTCATTACCCGCTTCTGCCCTACCCCGGGAACGTGTGTGGACGTAGAAAGGGTGAGTCAAGGCCAAGGGGAAGGGGAAGGGGAAGGGGACATCCCAGAACGTCACGAAGAAGAACTGGGCACTTCCTCCTGGGGGTAGCACTCTTTCTCATCAATGGTGCCACGACAGGTGCAAAATGCACAACGGATGTCACAGAGCATCCCCAGCAGGTGCCCCCAGAGGGACCAGCCCAGAGCGGGTGCGGAAAGGCCAAGTGCATGACCAGCCGCCTTGAGGACTTTGGCCCCCAGGAACCTTGGGCTGTGGACTAGGCCTTGTACTTGGGCTTCCCGACTAGTTGGGAAGCAAAGATCCGTGTGCTTAGAGGGCGCTAGATGGCACTTTAAAAATAACTCATAGGCCGGGTGCAGTGGCTCACGCCTGTAATCCTAGCACTTTGGGAGGCCAAAGCAGGAGGATCACTTGAGCCCAGGAGTTCAAGACCAGCCTGGGCAACATAGGGAGGCCCTCGTCTTTACAAAAAAAGTTTTTTTTTTTTTTTTTTTTTTTTTTTTATAATTAGCCGGGCATGGTGGTGGTCGCCTGTGGTCCCAGCTACTTGGGAGGCTGAAGTGGCAGGATCACTTGAGCCCAGTTCAAGATCAGTGTGGGCAAGATGGTGAGACCCTATCTCTTAAAAAAAAAAAGAAAAAGAAAAGAAAAGAAAGTAGGAAGGAAGGAAAGAAAGGAAAGAAAGGAGGAAGAAAGGAAGAAAAGAAAGAAAGAGAAGGAAAGAAAGAAAGAAAGAGAAAGGAAAGAAAGAAAGAAAGAGAGAGAGAAAGAAAGAAAGGAAGGCAAGCCAGGTGTCATGGCGCTCATCTCTAGTCCCAGCTACTCTGGAGGCTGAGGTGGGAGGATTCCTCGAGCCCAGGAGTTTGAGGCTGCAGTGAGTTGTGATGATGCCACTGCACTCCAGCCTGGGTGACAGAATGAGACCTCCTGTGTCTAAAAAACACATAAATACATAAAACTAACTTAAGCTATTTTCTATTGCCTGAGCAACATTAGCTCACTGTAGAAAACTTAAAAAATGCCCAGGCGCAGTGGCTCACACCTGTAATCCCAGCACTTTGGGAGGCCGAGGCGGGTGGATCACCTGAGGTCAGGAGTTCGAGACCAACCTGACCAACATGGCAAAACCCCATCTCTATTAAAAATACAAAAATTAGCCAGGTGTGGTGGCGCATGTCTGTAATCCCAGCTAGCTGGGAGGCTGAGGCAGGAGAATGGCTTGAACCTGGGAGGCAGAGGTTGCAGTGAGCCGAGATAGCGCCACTGCATTCCAGCCTGGGTGACAAAAGCAAAACTGTCTCAAAAAAAAAAAAAAAAAAAGAGAGAGAGAAGAAAACGTAAAAAATAAAGACAAGCATAAAAGAAAAAATTATTAAGCTCATCGGTGATCCCCCACCCCCAGGGCAACTGCTAGTATCATGGAAGTGTTTATTCCATTTTTCCTGTGCCCACTTTTTTAAAAGACAGAAATAGTTACATCATTAATGCTATAATATTTTAATTTACTAATATGACATGAACTCTTTCCATGTCAAAACATATGAATCTTTAGCTGGGCGTGGTGGTGTGCGCCTGTAGTCCCCGCTATTCAGAGGCTGAGGTGGGAGGATCTCTTGAGCCCCGGAGGTTGAGGCTGCAGCGAGTCGTGATTGTGCCATTGCACTCCAGCCTAGGCAACAGAACAAGACCTTTTCTCAAAAGAACTAAAAAAGAAAATAAAAGTTATGTGGATCTACATTATTAATTTTAAGGCCGTCATAATTATCTACTTTATTAATGGACTTGTCCGGCTGCACCAGAAATGATAATAATATGCATTCACTGGGTATCTAGCATGTGTGTCATTACACAGCCATATGAGGTGTGTACAAGTATCCCCGTTTTACCAATGAGAGAAGTGAGAGTCGGGGGTTAATGACCTCCAAGGCCACACAGCTACCGAGGCAGGATTCAAACCCAGGTCTGCTCTTAACCGTGATGTTCAGCCACCCGGCAGGTCCCTCCCACTGACCCCTATATTTGTTTCTGCAAAAAAATTCTGATGAGTCAGAGCCCCGTGTGTGCATTTTACCAGTTCCACTTGGAGGGAAACTTTATTTGCAGGGCATTACATTGGGGCAGGAAGGGTTGGGGGAGCAGACATCACCATCCCTCCAGCCTGCCCCCTGGACATCGCACTGCTTCCCTTAGCAGCTATGGAAACCACTCCGACCAGAGAGGGGAAGGGACTTGCCCAAGGCCACACTGTTCAGAGGCTGCACAGGACTGCAGTCCTGGCTTCCGATTTCCCACTGGGGTGTGGATGAAGCATGCGGGACACACGAGACATAGGGATTAGAGGCTCCAGGTCCAAAGGGCAGGGACGGTGCCAGTCTTGGTCACTCACTGCTCACTTGTCTGTCCCCAGCTCCAGCACAGGAGCTGACATGCAGGCCTGAATGGATAAAGACGATAAGGAAGGCAAGACTGGGAGGGATCTCTGTGGAAGACTTCCAGGAGGGGCCGGGGTTGGGCCAAAGGGGAGTGGGGCTTGGACCAGCAGAGAGGAGATGGTGGTACTGCGTGGGCAGGTGTGTGGAGGAGGGAGGAAACCTGGCCTGCTGAGGAGAGAAATGGGTCTGGGAGCAGGCCAGCCAGCCAGAGGGGATGAGTCTGGGCGTGGCCAGAGCAGACCAAGGAGGCTCCAGGCTCCGCCTCTGGGGCAGCCCCACTCCCCCACCAGCCCCCCGTCCCCCAGCCCCACCACAGAGCCCTGCCTGGGTAATTCCTGAACAGGAACAGAAGGAGGAAGCTGTACAAGTGACACTCAGCTGGTGAGTGGGAGGCAGGGTTTGGTTTCCTTTCCAGATGAGCCCTGGGTTTGTTCAGCCCTGGTGCGTGCCCCCACCCCTGCCCCTCCCCTGCTGTCTGTGGCCTTGGCTCAGGCACTGGTGAATCTCAGAGGCCAGGCAGGCCAGAAAGGAGCCATCCAGGCCAGGAAATGGGGAGGTCCTGTTGCGTGGGAATCCCCTGGGAGGGTGGCTTGACGTGTCCCCTTCTCTCTCGGACCAGACTGTGAGAACTGAAAGCTGGGACCGCAGCTTTCACATCCTTCCGGTGTGGCAAAGTCCTTTCCATCCTTCAGGACCCAATCTATTTTATTTTTTTACTTTGGAGATGGGATCTTGCTTTGCTGCCCAGGCTGCAGTGTAGTGGCACAATCATGGCTCACTGCAGCCTCAAACTCCTGGGCTCAAGTGATCCTCCTGCCTCAACCTCCTGAGTAGCTGGAGTACAGGCACACCTACCATGCCTGGCTAATTTTTAATCATTTTTGTAGATACGGGGCCTCGCTGTGTTGCCCAGGCTGGTCTCAAACTCCTGGGCTCAAGTGATCCTCCTGCCTCACCCTCCCAAAATGTTGGGATTACAGGCGTGAGCCATTGCACCCAGCAGAGACTCAATCTAAATGTCCCTCGTTTGGTAAACTCTCCGAGAATCCCCTATCAAGGCAAACTGACAAATGCTCCCCACCCCCGAACTCCTGTAGCACTCAGAACACACTTAAAAATAAAAAGAATCACTGTTTATTGGGTGTCCACAATGCACAGGGTCTCACATTTCACCTCCTTGTTGTACCTCTCAGCATCACTGACAGTTGGCACCATCCTTAGTTCCATTTTACTGAGCAGCTCAGTGGGGCACAGGGAGGTTGCAGGGTTGCAGGCAGTGGGGCTGGGTCTCCTGGATACCAAAGTGTGTCGCTCTCTGGCCCTCCTGCTCATAGTGTTTCAGGGTCTGTTTCCTCTTCTGGCTTGGAGCCTTCAAAGGGCAGAGTCTGTGTCCCTGGAGACCTGGCCTTGGGGAGGTGTTGACCCATGGACAAATCTTTGAACCTCCCCACCAGCCTTCACCATGATGAGGACCTAGGCTGGTGCCTTGTATACAGTAGGCTGTTACTGAATTCTTGTGACATTGAGAAAGCTTGATCTTAGTCCAGGCTCTGTCATAAACTTGCAGTTTGAGTTTGGGCAAGTCACTTCTATTCTCTGGTCCTAAGTTTCCCTGGGTTTAGAAGGAAATGTTTACAGACAAGTGTCTTAACTTCCTCCCTGTCCGAAAATTCAGTCCTTTGCTCTAGAACATGGCACATACCCCACACTCAATTTCCCTTATTATTATTGTTATATTAAGTTTTTTTTTTCTCAAGTGGGCTTGCTAGGGAATCCCTGATTATTAATATCCATGATAGTATAGTATGTTACAATTAACGAACCAATATTGATACATTATTATTAACTAAAGTCCATATTTGCTATGGAGTTCCTTAGTTTTTCCCTAATGCCTAATGTCCCCTTTTTTTTTTTTTTTTTTTTTTGAGACAGTGTCTCGATCTGTCACCTAGGCTGGAGTGCAGTGGCATGATCTCGGCTCACTGCAACCTCCACCTCCTGGGTTCCAGCTATTTTCCTGCCTTAGCCTCCTGGGTAGCTGGGATTACAGGCATGCACCGCCAAGCCTGGCTAATTTTTGTATTTTTAGCAGAGATGGGGTTTCACCGTATTGGCCAGGCTGTTCTCGAACTCCTGATTTCAGGTGTTCCACCTGCTTTGGCCTCCCAAAGTGCTGGGATTCCAGGCATGAGCCACTGCGCCTGGCACCTATGTCCTTTTTCTGTCCCAGGATCATGTCTCCTCTTGGCTTTGATAGTTTCTCGGACTTTTCTTTTTTTGATGACCCTGACAGTTTTGAGGAATACTAGTTAGGTGTTCTGTTTTTTGTTTTTCGTGTTTTTTTTTTTTGTTGTTGTTGTTTGTTTGTTTTTTGAGATGGAGTCTTGCTCTGTTGCCAGGCCAGAGTACAGTGGCGTAATCTCAGCTCATTGCAACCTCCACCTCCCGGGTTCAAGCAATTCTCCTGCCTCAGCCTCTCGAGTAGCTGGGACTACAGGCATGTGCCACCACGCCCAGCTAATTTTTGTATTTTTAGTAGAGACGGCGTTTCACCATATTGGCTAGGATGGTCTCGATCGCTTGACCTTGTGATCCGCCCGCCTTGGTCTCCCAAAGTGCTGGGATTACAGGCATGAGCCACCTTGCCTGGCCTTTTATTTTTTATTTTTTGGATAGTGTCTAAGTCTGTCACCCAGGCTTGAGTACCGTGACACAATCATAGCTCACTGCAGCCTCCACCTCCCAGGCTCAAGCGATTCTCCCACCTCAGCCTCCTGAGTAGCTGGGACTACAGGCATGTGCCCCCATGCCCAGCTAATTTTATTAAAAAATTTGTTTTTTGGTAGAGATAGGGTCACACCATGTCACCCAGGTTGGTCTTGAACTCCTGGCCTCAAGTGATCCTCCTGCCTTGGCCTCCCAAAGTGCTGGGATTATAGATGTGAGCCACAGTGCCTGGCCTAGTCTGGTGTTCTGTAGAATGCCCCACTATTAGAATCTGTCTGAGGCTTTTCTCATGGCTAGACTGGGGTTCCGGGTTCTGAGGAGAAAGACCACAGAGGTAAAATGCCATTCTAATCACATCATATCAAGGGCAAATGTTATCAGCAGGCCCGATCACTGCTGATGTTGTCCTGATCACCTGGCTGAGATAGCGTTTGTAAGGTTCCTGCACTGCAAAGGCACCGCCCCCACCCCTCTTTCCACCCTGAACTCTTTAGAAGGGAGCCACCAAGCACAGCCCACATCTAGGGACTGGGGAGTAATGTTCCTCTCCTTGAGGGTGGAGTATAGTGTGAATATTTTTTCTTCTATCTACTTTTCAAAGTACTCCCACAAAACATTGCTACATTGCATCTTCCCAATGCTTAGGAAATGTGGAGGATGGAGGCATTCCATTGAGGTGGAGGCCAGTGCTCAGAGGGGCAGCAGTGGTTCCCTGCCCGGCCCCTGTGGATCTGGCCTTTTGCTCTTGGATGTGAAATATGCGAGCTTTGAGGTTCACAGACCCGGGTAGCACAGAACCGCAGCACCTGAGTTCCAGATTCAGGAAGGCTTAATTTTTTTTTTTTTTTTTTTTTTTGAGAGGGAGTCTTGCTCTGTTGCCCAGGCTGGAGTGCAGTGGTGCAATCTCAGCTCACTGCAACCTCTGCCTCCCGGGTTCAGGAAATTCTCCTGCCTCAGGCTCCCGAGTAGCTGGGATTACAGGCACCTGCCACCACACCCAGCTAGTTTTTGTATTTTTAGTAGAGATGGGGTTTCACTATGTTGGCCAGGCTGGTCTCGATCTCCTGATCTCAGATGATCCACCTGCCTCGGCCTCCCAAAGTGCTGGGATTACAGGCGTGAGCCACCGCACCCAGCCAGGAAGGCTTGAATTTTGTTTGGGTTTGAATTCAAGGTCCCGCCCTTCCTCACCACGTCATGTCACCTCACTGAGCCTCAGTTTCCTCATCTGTATGGTGGGATAACAATAGCTAGCTCCTACCTTGTTGCGTTGTGAAGAATGAACTAGATGCTACATCCAGAGTCCCTGGAAGCGATTCCCTGCTCAGGAAACTCCTTGCACCAGGACTGTGAGCCATGGTGATTATTTTTACAATGATTCTTTCAGCCCTCCTGTCGTGACCGTCTCCTCTCTGTGCGGCAGGTTTCTCACCCCCTGTGGACTGTGGGGTCACAGCTCTAGCTGCAGATTTCCGGCTGCCCTCTGCCCTCCCATCAGGCCAGGCAGATCAAGGGCCCAGCCTCCTTTCATCTTTTCTCACAAACATTCTGGGATGTGGCGGAAGGAGGCCTGGGCTGGGGTGGGATGGTGGCTCTGCCTGCCAGCAACTCTCTGTGTGACCTTGGGAGAATGCTTGTCCTTCTCTGGGCCTCTTCTGCAGCCTGAGGGGAGTGAGGTGTTGAGCGTACTTGGCCGTCATGCGAGCCCAGTGGGGCCAGGCGTCTCCCCCATTTTCACATGGGCAGGTCTTTTCTGCCTTTGACGTCTGTGTTTTGTCTCCAGATTCTGGGCTGGGTAGAGACACACTTGAGCCTGAGGTTCCCCATCTGTGAACCGGCCACACAGCCCAGAAGGTCCGGCTGTGAGGGTTTGAATGTGTGGGGCTGTGCTCAGTGGTTAATGCCGTTTGAAGGTCACCACTCAGGCGCCACCTGCTCAGGTGCTGCTGTCACCATCTCTTCCCTGACGGGGGCACATTTGTTATGATTAATGAATCAATACAATATTGATACATTATTATTATTTAAAAAAATTTCAGAGGCAGCGTCTCACTCTGTTAGCCAGGCTGGAGTGCAGTGGTACCATCACGGCTCACTGCAGCCTTGACCTCCTGGGCTCAAGCGATCCTCCTGCCTCAGCCTCCCAAGTAGCTGGGATACAGGTGCACACCACGCCTAGCTAATTTTTTGTTGTTGTTTTTTGTGGAGACAGGGGTCTCACTGTATACCCAGGCTAATCTTGAACTCCTAGACTCAAGTGATCCTCCCACTTCAGCCTCGATGCTGGGATTACAAGGCATGAGCCATTGCACCTGGTCTGATACATTATTATAATTGAAGTCCATGCTTTAGTCAGACTTCCTAAGTCTTTCCCTAATGTCTTTTTTCTGCCCCAGGATCATGTCTCCTCTTTGCTCTGATAGTTTTTCAGATTTTTCTTTTCTGCCTTTGACACCCATGTTTTGGACGCCCCTCCCGGTGCTGGCCGCTGGGGGAGAACAAGCTCATCTGCTCCTGGCTCCTGACTCCCATGGGGTTGGGGATGCTTCTCTAGTGTCTTGGGTTTCCCACCTTCGGCCAGTTTGGCCTCACTTCCTGGAACACGGATATATGCCCATGCACACACTCCTGTGTGAGCCAGGCCTTCTGCATCAGCTGGGTCCCCGCTGCTCCTCAGCACAGAGGCCTCCTGACTGCCCCCTCCCTGTCCCCTAATGTGACCGCCACTCCATGTCTCCCCAGGCCCTGCTCTGCTCACCACCCTCCGTGGCTCCCACCACCTCCAGGACAGAAGCCACGCCTGGCACTCAGGGATCCTCAGGTTCCCCTACCACCCTTCCCACCTCACTTCCCCGACTCCAGCCCAACCGCCATGCTGTGCTTCGCAAACACCACCTGCTTCTGCATGGAGTTGCAGACGCAGCGGCGTTCCCCATCTCTGTCTTTGCTCACACTGTCCCTCTACCTGCACACCTGTCCTGTCCTGTTTGTTATTATAATTATCTTGTTTTTTGAGACAGGGTCTTGCTCTGTCACCCAGGCTAGAGTGCAGTGGTACGATCATGGCTCACTGCAGCCTCGATCTCCTGGGTTCAAGTTATCTTCCCAGCTCAGCCTTCCCAGTACCTGGGACCACAGGTGCACACCACCACATCTGGCTAATTTTTAGTTTTTTTTTTTTTTTTTTGTAGAGACAGGGCCTCACTATATTGCCCAGACTGGTCTCAAACTCCTGGACTCAAGTGATCCTCCTGCTTCAGCCTCCCAAAGTGTTGGGATTATAGGCGTGACCCACCATGCCCTGCCTCCCTGTCCCATTTTCACCTGGCAACCATCTCCCCAGGCTTCTAAACTCTCCATAGACAACTCTCTCCTCAACACACATGCTGGGTTGGGGGCCCCACTCTGGGCCCTGCAGCCCCTGTACTTGCCCATCCCTGACTCCTCTAAGTTAGAGACCAAAGACCAGCCTTGGTTTTTTCACTGCTGTATCCCAGCATGTAGCACAGACCCTAGCACATAGTAGATGCTCAATAAATGACCACTGCAGGAGGAAGGAAGAGTGAAGCCAAGCCAAGGACTAGGGGGTGGGGAACCTTCTGGGCAGAGGGATCAGCAAGTGCAAAGGCCTCAGGACAGGGACTGCTTGTGGAGGGACAGCAGGAGGCAGGTAGAGGAGGGGAGGAGACCAGGGCCTGCACAGCACGACATCTCTGTGTAAACTGTGAAGTGCAGTGCCAGGGGAGGTGCCAAGCCCATTCCACAGACTCAGGCTAGAGCCCATCCCCCACCCACCCTGTCCTGTAGCCCTGAGCCTGGTGGCTTCAACTAGACCACTCACAGCACACCATGTGGAGAATGGCAGAACTGTTCTGGAGTTTCCCACTGAGGCCTGTGATGGGTCCAGTTTCCTGGCTGCTGCAGCAAGGGTGAGCTGGGCTGGGGCTGGGCATAGCAGATCAGCCATCATTGAGCCAGGGTCACCAGGGCACTAGGTGTGCTGTGGGCAGCACCTCTGATCCCATGTCATGGGACAACTCTGGCTCGTGGGTTCACTGCCAGTCGTGGAGGGCCAGGCCTCACCCTACCCCCTCCACCCTGCCCTCAGTTGTGGCTTTGGCCCACCCAGGTTGAGGGAAGGAGGGAAGAGGAGGTTTCTGGAGACAGAGGACTATACAACCAGCACTCACCATCTCAGCAATGTTGACGTCAATAGCATCTATCATCTGCTGGGTGCTTTTGGGTTGGGAAGTGGTTCCTGTTGGTGTTCTAAGACTGGCCTGGGGCCATATATACAGTTGGTAGTCAATAAATGCTTGCTGTCCATTAACGATGATTTGCAGGAATTAAGCAATGAGTTGCTGCTTTACCAACAAAGAATGTTTTAAGCAAAATAATTTGCACAAAGAGTCACTTATCTACCAGGCCAGACCAGCAACTCCCAACTGCACAATCCTGGAACTTGCCAGGGTTGTTACCCTCGTTTTACTGATGAGTAAACTGAGGCCCAGAGAAGGCAGGTTCACATAGTCACTGAAGGGAAGAGCTGGAACTTGAACTCTTGTCTGTAGGTCCCAAGTCAGTGTGTGCTGCCTGGCCAACTGGGCAGTGCCTGCTCCGTGCTGGGCATGGGCCAGGCCTTGGTCACTGCCCTCAGGGTGGGGACAGACACACTCAGAACGGACTTAGCACGTGCCTCCATCAGGGCGTGTCAGGAAGCATGTTGTGGAGAAGGTGGCGTTTACTCTGGACTTTGAAGAACAAGGCGAGGTAGCCAGGGACAGGGGCTGAGCCTTCCTGGCAGGGGTTACAGCCTAGCAAAAGCCCAGAGGGGTAGTTAAAAATAAAGAGTGCTTCAAACGCTCAATAATGGAACCATTGTGCTGGCCACATCCTCCTGAGAACCTCAGCCGCTGAGCCAGGCCCTTGAAGTCGGCAGTGGCTTCAGGTGGGAAGCTGCATCTGTGCTTGCAGAACCTTTACTTGTCTAAGTTGCCTCCTCTCTGATAAGAGCATGTAGGGTATGAATGAGAAAGAGATTTCACATGTGCTGAGCGGGCATCACCTCATTTCATCCTTACATGCGTCTTCTGGGGGCTGTGATATCTTTAGCCCACTCTGCAGGTTGGCATACTGAGGCTTCTTACATTATCTGCAAAGTGGCAGAGTTGAGACTTGAACCTGGGTCTGGTCCAAAATCTGTGCTTTTAAGCTCTCTGTCATCCCAGTTCTCGAAAAGCCCAGAATTTTCTGTTGAACTCCTGGGGATGAGTTTAGTGATGTGCTCGTACATATTGAATAACCAGCTCTCTGGAAGAAAAAAGAGGCTTGATTGGTAGCGTATTCCGATGTCCAAGGGGTAAATACTCCCACTGTGGCTGACATGGAGCTATCAGTGTGACATTCTTGAATATGGAGTTGGGAAGAGATGAGCACAGTTGGTTCTTGCAAGTAGGTAAGGGCCAGCTCCAGCGTGTCACTGGGTAAATGTCCCTGCCTCCCCCCCGAGCCCAGTATGGCCAGTAAAGGCCTTTAGACATGTCTAAGGAATGGAAGAGGGCTGAGAAACCTGCTCCTCCAGCTGGGGGCCCGCCCTGAGCCCTGGGAAGCTGCGGTTAATCTTTAAGCCAGCCTTGCAAACAAGTGCGGCCATTTCACCAGCCCAGGCTGGCTTCTGCTGTTGACTGGCTGTGGCACCTCAAGCAGCCCCTTTCCCCTCTAGCCTCAGTTTATCACCGCAAGAGCTACCATTCATCTAGCACAACCTGACCATCCTCACACTGGTCAGTTCCAACCTTCCCAGGAATCTTCTGTGGCCATGTTCACTCCGGTTTTACAGGTGAGGGGGCTGGGCTGGGAAGCTGATCGACTTGTCCACCCCACAGCAGAGGGGCAGCTAGCCTAGATGCGAACCTAGATCAGTGTAGAGTAAGGCTTTGCTCATTCCTGGTCTCCTGGAAGGTATGTTGTACCCAGAGGCCTTTGCCTTCCACATTCTAGGGTGCTCCTCCCAGCTCCTCTCAGCAGGGACCTTTGCCCAGGGAATAGAAGCCTGACCTGTCTGGGCCTTAATTTCCCATCTGTGAAATGGGAGAACTTTCAAAGAAGGAATATGGAGGCAGGTGTGATATTTAAAGCTGGACCCAGGCCCACCTTTCCCTGTGCTAGGATTCCAGGACAGGTAAGGAGCCAAGGGTGGGGTGCCCAGCCCCAAAAGGATAGCCCTGGAGCCTGCGCCAGGGGGTAAGAGGGGAGTCTTTGTGGCCTAAAGCAGCATTTCCTCAATGTCCCGTTTTTCTGCTACATTTCCTGCCCTGGTTCAGAGGTACTTAGCCTCTTTACTTACTTGGAAGTGTGACTGCCACTCAGATGCCCTGGTCAGCCCCTCCTAAGCAGTAATAATTAGAACTAGGGGACTTCCGATGGGCTGCCAGGGATGTTTTGCCCTTATGCACTTAAAATGAACCCGTAACTATTAAAATAAATGTCGCTCCTCCCCACCCTGTCCCTCCTGCCCCAGCCCCTACTTTGAGAAACTCAGGTCAAGGCTAAAGTCCAAGGCCTGGTTCTTGTCAGTGCCTCAGTTTCCCCATCTGTAAAGTGGGGCGATCTTCCGCCGCTCAGGCCAGGTGGTGGTTAGGATTAAACCCTGAAGTCGACCTGAGCAGCTTAGCATGGCGCCTGGCCCAGAGCGGGCGCTCCACGCCCGCTGATATTATTACCAATCGTGATTTCGGGAGAGGCGGATCTGGGGCGTAGAAGGTGGGTGGGTTGGGGAGGGCATTTTGGCCTGGGGGCGGATGGGGCCCGCGGGGTGCGGCGCCCTGGCGGAGTGGGAGGCGGGGCTTCTGTGCCCGGTGTCCCCACCCCGCCCGGACCCCCAGCTCGGGCCGCCCCTGGGTCTCTCCCGGGTCACCGGCGGGGAATCCGTCCCCGCGCGCTTCCTCCTTCCTCCTCCTCCCGGCTGCCTGCCGGGCCCCTCCTCCCAGCTCGCGCGCTCCCTCCCTCCTCTTCCCCTCCCCGGGCCGCCGCCGCCTCCTCCTCCTCCTCCTCCCTTTCTCTCTCGATCTGTCTCTCCCGGCCCGGAATCCATTCCGGCCTGGGAGCCGGAGCGGCCAGGCCGCCGTCTGCCCGTCCCGCTGGACGTCCCGCGGTCCGCCCTCCCGTGCGTCCGTCTGCCGGTGAGCCCGCCCGCCCGCCGGCCCAGGTGAGCGCCCCCCGCCCCTCCGCGGACCCCCCGCCCCGGCCAGCGCGGGGGAGCCCCCGCCCCGGACCACCCTGGCGTCGGATCGCGGGCCGGCGGGGACTCCTGTCCACCCCCCCAATTCCCACCCCCCCTCCGGGCCAAGCCGCGATACCCAAGCGCCGGGCGGGCGCACGGGGCCATGCCCGGCGCGGCCTTTTGTTGTGATGCAGCGGGGGGAGGGGGCTGGGCGGGGGGGGCGCAGGGTTCCTGGCTGCGTGGGGACCCCCTCCAGCTCATGCTCCCCATAGGATCCCCCAGAGAAGCCAGCGAGCTGGGCCCTAGCCCCCGGGCCAGGTCTAGGCCAAATCTGAAATCTGAGCCAGTCGGCGCCGCCTCTGCCTGGGCTGCCCGGCCCTGCGCCCCCCGGCCCCGGGTGGGAGGTGGGGGGATCGGCAGGGCGGGCTGAGGGGCCCCGGGGTCAGGGCGCCAGGCCGAACTGCCAGGACCTCCCTGCCCTCGTGGGGCCTCGGGTAGGGCCTGGTGCTGCCGGCCTGGAAGGGACTGGGCCAGACTGCGTTTGGTCTCCCCTGCCCACAGCCCCCAGCCTCGCCCCTGAGCAGGCCCAGCTACCAGCCGGCTCAGAAGTTGGCAAAAGTTTTGGGGGTTGGCCACCGGGCCAGGTCCACCTGTCTGCCTGGGCTGGGATTGGGGTGGGTTTGAGTCCCCACCAGGGCTGCCACTT
Organism: Homo sapiens; assembly: GCF_000001405.40. Taxonomy (NCBI): domain Eukaryota; kingdom Metazoa; phylum Chordata; class Mammalia; order Primates; family Hominidae; genus Homo; species Homo sapiens. The sequence goes on from NW_025791812.1 coordinate 256,479, forward strand.
GCCCTGCTGTGTGTCCTCAGACAACTGCCTGCCTCTCTGAGCTGGGTTCCTCATTGGTGGCAGGTGGGCCTGGCTGGAATTGCTAGGCTGGTGGAAGGATGGGGTGAACAGAAGGGGCTCACCTGTGTGGTATCCTTTCAGCCCCTGCGTCCTTCAGGTGGACTTAGGAGTGGACAGAGCCTGTGTGTGCCCCTGGGCAAGACCTCCTGAACTTCATGGACTCTGTACAATTTGGGGCAGTGGTTGCTGGGTCACCTGGGGTAAGTCCAGGCCCAGCCACAGCCACAGTGCAGCTGGGATCAGACTTGGTTTCAAGGGTGGGCCAGGCTGGTCCTGTTGCAGACCCTCTTCTCAGCCCCCTGGCTGGGGGATCAAGGCACCGAGTCTTCTTGTCTCACCCAGTGACCTGGGCCAAGAGACTGCCCCTCTAAGTCCCTATACGTGAAATGAGAATCCTCAGGCGAAGATTCTAAGCGCTTCTGCAGGTAGAGGCTTGGCGTGTAGTAGATGCTCAATAAATGAATTGTTCACTGGACACATTGGCTGAGAAAGATGGGTGAGATGTGAGGTTGCTGGCTAGTTCATTCTAGAAGAGGATGGGTTGGTGCCTTGAGAAAGAAATAGCCCTGGCACCGTCCTGCCAGCCAGCAGCTGGGTGACCGTAAGCAATTCACTTTTCCCTTCTGGCCTCAGTTTTGCCACATATAAAACTGGGCCAGTGGTAATGACAGCTGCCAACATCTACTGAACACCTTTTAGGAGGTACAGACTCTTGTTTATCTTCATTTTGCTGATGGGGAAACTGAGGCTAAGAGAGGGGAAGTGACTTGACCAAGGCCCTATAGTTGGAAGCTGGAATGAAAGCCCAGACCTCAGAGACCACAGTCTGGCTGTCCCTGCATCCCTCCAGTGATGGGGCAGTGGAGGTTCGCAAGACAGGACTGCACACACAGCAGTGTCGGAAAAGACTGCTCTGCTGAGGGATTGAATGAAAGCCACGAGGCCTTTTTGGTGATGTGGTGATGTGGTCTTTCCACCCAAGGAAATGATTTACAGTGTGTCACCTCTCTCAGCTGACTGCCTGCCTAGGCCCTCCCGCGTGCCCCTGGGCCTTTGCTCCTAAACTGTGTCCCTCCCAGAGTGCCCTCTCCTCCAGGTGCTGCTTATCTGCCCTTGCCCCGCCAGGCTTAGCTTAGGCCCCTCTCTTCTAGGAGGAAGGCCCGTGGCTCTCTCTCCCTGTCCCCTAGCTCTTGTTGGAGCATGACTTATCCACAGCTCAGCCTGGTTCCTGCTTTTGCTTCTCTGATTGTGACCAGGGGGGTGGGGTGGAGGGATGTCTGGCTCCCCCAAGCCCCAGGAACCAGAGAGGAGATGGCTCAGTGACCTGTTGAGGGACCTTCTGCCCATCTCCGTGGTCCTCAGCTGACCCCATTTTCTCAAACCTCCCCATGTATAAGCATTTGTGACCCCTGTATTGAGCACCTGCTGCGTACCAGGAACTTGGAACTCGGGCTGAGCAGTATTGTGCTGGGGTTAGCAGGGAGTGGGAGCTGTGGGAGTCATGGAGGCTTCTAGAAGGTGGCAGGGCCTGAGCTGAGGACGAGCAAGAGTTCACTTGGCAAAGAAGGGGAGAGGGAGCTCTTTTTTCCCTTCCCAGGGGCCCTGAGGTGGTGGGGTGTGGTCAGCCTGGTTGGATACTTGCTGGGGAGCTGGGAACAGGTCCTTGGCCTCCCAGAAGTTTGAATCTGGAGGGTGAGCAAAGTTGCAAACAAGTTGCCAGTTGAGTTACTATATAATCACAGATATGATAAGGACTCAGGGAGAGAGGCCTAGGGTACACAGGAATCTTGAAGAGGGCATGTAGGGGTTGACCAGGCATGGAGTTAGGGAAAGGGCTTGCCAGGCAGCAGGAAGTGCATGTGCAAAGGCCCTGAGGTATGTGCCAAGACGTGCTGTCATGGAGAATCAGTGGGGGAAGCTGTGAGGCTGGAGCGTGCACAATGAAGGGGAGTGGGTAAGAGGTAGAATGAGGGGGTGTATCAGCAGGGCTGGACCATGCTGGGGCCTTGTGGGCCCTGGGGAGGAGTTTGGCCTTCATTGTCACACAGGGGGCTGATCGGTGTCCCCTGTGTGAACAGCCCCAAGCTGGAGGCCAGAGGTACAGAGCTGACCAATAGAAATAGATCTGATGATAGACCTAGATCTGTAGGCTGGACTCCAAAATTTTATGGAGGCCTAGATCAGGTCTCAAGAGGAGCGGGTATTTGAGGCTGGGCTTTGGAAGTGGAGTAGGAGTTCACTAGCAGCAAGGCTGGAGAGGATGAGAGCCGGGGGTGTGGGAAGTGCAATGCTGGGTGGCTGGAAGCTGGGAGTGAGGTAGGGAGCAGGGAGGGGTCAGCCCGAGAGATGGGGACCAAAGGTTTGGTAAGGGCTTAAGAGTCAGACAGGCCTGGGTTTATGTTCTGACCGTCCCACTTGCTGTGTGTCTTTGGATCATTTACTGTATCTTTTGAGAGACTTAGTTTCTTTGTCATGAAAATGGGGACAACAGATACCTCCTTGTTGGATTAGGGTTAAAGGAGGGCTGTGTGCCCAGTGTCTGGCACCGGTAGGTACTTGGCAAATGGGACCTGCTTTGCGCTGTTGCATTGGACAGGTCACTCGGCCTCTCTGGGTCTGGCCCTGCTAGCTCTGTGGTCAAGCCCTTGCCTGGGTGATCTCATGGAGTCTGAAGGTGCCGGTTGGGGCAGGGCTGGCTCGGGAGAGGATGTTGGCAGCCAAGGCCGCCAATGTGCAGGGTGACTTTGAGTCCTGCCCTGCCCTCTCTTTGCCTTCTCTGTGTATGAAGAGGCTAAACTGGGGAGAATGCCATGCGTCTAGCCCCAGCCCCGCTTCTTCGAAGCCTGCCTTCGGTGTGATTGGTCCCATTTTCCGGTTGTAAGTACTAAGACCCAGGAAGGGAAAGCCACTTGCCTAGGGTCTCCCAGTTGCCAAGTGACAGGGCCAGGCCTTGGCTGTAGGCTCTGGACTCCTAGTCCAGCAGAGCCACTGAAAAAGGCCACCACTTCCCTGCTCTGGGCCTTTTGCCGGAGCTTCATTTCCTGCCTCGGTGTGTGTCCCCACATCTCTATCTCCCTTCGGATTCCCACAACCCTTTCCTTCCCCTCCATGGCCCCCACCCCTTATCTCCGTGGGAAACCCCTCTGGCTTCCCCTTGAGCTCCTGGGGGCCACTTCCTCTGGGGAGCCTCAGTTTCTTCATGCCTGAAGTAGGATAGTGAGTCATGGTTCCCAGGATGTCCCAAGAGGACAGAAATAAAGTGCTTAGCACACATTAGGGACTCAATCAGTGGAGGCGGGGGAGGGCCAGGCACCTGCTCAAGTCCTGCCTCCTCTGGCAGCTGATGCCCTGTCCTGTGATTCAGTTTCTGAAGCTGTGAAATGGGCCTAGGGCTTGTACCTGGTAAGGCTAACAAGAGGATGGTATGAGGCTGTACCTTAGGTCCCCACCTGGTGGCTGGCTCCGTGTCGCTGTTCCTGGGGGAGGGAGACCCAGTAGAGGCCTCCCCTGTGTTCAAGGCCTCATTCCCTGCTGTTTGTCCAAAGCCAAGTCACTTAGTCTCTCTAAACCTCAGCCTCTGCACACCTCCCTTGTGAGGATTAAATCAGCTAATGTATTCCCCGTGGCTCAAATCTACTGGGTGCTTAGAAAATTTTATATTTTTCTTTCCCCATTCTCCTCCCTGTTGGGGACTCAGATATTATCTAGTTTAGGGAAGCTTCTGGGCTTTCATCCCCCTGGCCTAGAGTGCTGTGTTGAGAAGCATTCTGAGGCTCAGTGTTGGCTTCATGGGAAAGAGTGCTGTGATAGATTAGTCATGTCTGCCATGGGCACAGGATAAGAGAGTATTGTATGTGTGCCATGAGTTTGTCATTCTTGATCTATTCTGACCTTCTCCTTTCACAGATCGGGGGGATTGAGGCTAGAAAGACCCAGGGCAAATCATCTACGCTGGGAGAAAAATGCAGAGCTCTTGTCTTCGATCCAGGACTCTCCCCAGCCAGCCAGCCTCCTCCTTCCCACAGTACAGCCTGGTAAGGCTGAGTCAGGGATAGATGACCGGGGAGGATCTCAGAGCTGGGAGCCAGACCTCCATCTCCCTACTCCTTGCTCTGGGTCCTTGGGCAAGTGACTTTCCCCCAACTTTGGTCCATTTGGTCCTTCTTCTCCCTTAGAACTACCCAGAGAAGTTCCAGAGTAAAAGGAGAAGCCAGAAGGGAGGAGAAGTTGAATGATCTTGGCCAAATCCCTTCCTGTCTGGTCCTCAGTTTCCTCATCTGTATGGTGAGGACTCCTCCCACTGAGGCTCTGTGATGGTGATCCTAGCTGGGGAGTGCTCCAGGGGCAGGCCCAGCGGAGTCTTTTTTGGTGCTCATGTAGGGGTGGGGATGTCTGTGGTGGGTGGGTGGTGATATTTGTGGACCCACTGAGAAACTTTAGGAACGGGTTCTTTTGAACCCTTGGACCTGCTGGGCTATGAGGCTGGCACAGGCAGAATCCAGTTGCTGGGAGTGGAAATTGAGCTGGAGTGGCCTGGGGAAGCATGGCCTCCCTGTTGGGGTCTGATTAGCTTCTCTTAGGCTGCTTTGCCCAAATTCATGGCCTTGACTTTTACCTTGTCTGATGTCGATATCTTCATGTCATGCCCTTCTGAGCTGGGTCATAATAAGGTGACCCATTGTGTCCCTTGCTCCATCCTGGGAGCAGTCAAACTCTTATTCCTGTTACACAGAAGAGGAGACTGAAGCTCAGAGAGGCTAAGAGCTGGGGCCACAGGAGTGCAGCAAAGTGAGGTGTGAGCCCAGACTTCTGGCTGCTGAGTAATTTGTGGGGATCTGATTCTTATTAAGTGTGTACCCAACGTGGCTAAAACTTTTCCCAGGTATAGGAGGGGTGCGGTGCTGGGGGCAGGTGACCCTGACTCTCTGGGTTCCAGCTCTGGCTGATGGATTCCCCAGTCGGACGTGGAGTACTGGGATCTTGGGTGCTCACGGATGCTTATGCCATAAAGGGTAATGGAAGTAGCAAAGCCTTTGAAGCCAGTTGGTTCTGGGTTCAAATCGTGGCTTGGCCACTTGTTTGCTGTGTATGATTGTACAGCTTAGAACCTCAGTTTCCCCATCTGTGAAATGGGGATGACGAGGCTGGCACCAGCTTTGACAAGATGGCATGAAGATCCGATGAGCCAATGTGTGCCAAGTGCTTGGGCGCAGGGCCTGCACTCAGGAAGTGCATGATATTTATGAGTGCCTGTTAGAAAGGTGATTCCCTGATGAGGCAGGAATCCTGGGCCTCTGCAGGCCAACTGATCCGGAAATCACCAGGGCAGTGACCAGCCACCTTTGTCTGTGGTTGGCTTGTTCTGTGGGGAAGGGAGTGGGGGGAAGATTAACTAGAAACAGACAAGCTTGGTGACTGGATTGATTGGAAGCCACCAGCTCCATCCAGCCTCCCTGAGCCTGGCTTCTGCCTTAGCCCTTGCCTGCCTGTGACCTAGCATAGCCTCCCAGTGCCCCGATGCCTCACCCTGGCCTCCCTCCTCCGCCTCACTGAATGGGCCCCTCTCTTCAAAGGTGGATTCTATTTGAGCATCCTTGCCCGTTTGACCTGAGAGGTGAGAGCTGTTCCTGCTCTTGTTTTTTGGGAGGCAGCTGAAGCTCAGAGAGAGGCGGGGATGGGCTCGGGCTGCACAGCAAGGGCCCCTAGAGGTGCCCTGCCCCGATCATCTCCCATATTTTCGAGCCGTAGCTATCTTCCTGCCTGACCGGGGTTATCGGGCCGTACACCTTTGCCCCTGCAGCTCCCACTGCCTGGTGTGCCCTCCCTCTCAGTGCCCCTCCAGTGGCTGAGATGCTTCTGGCTTCAGAAGGCCTTTGTGAACACCCTGCCGGTCCCACTGAGTCCATGAGTCCGTACTGACCCCACATCCACCATTGAACTTCACCTTGTCCCTTCTTTGCCCTTCCTCATGGCTCTGACACATTCTGCCTTAGATGACAAGTCATAGGATTCTTTTTGCCTCTAAGGGAATATGGTAATCACCATATTCCCAAGGGCACAGCCCTTTACAGTTTACAAAGAACTTTCCGCAGTTACCTCTGTGCATCCCCAGCACCAGCGGGGCTGAGACAGACAGAACCACCGTAATAAACTTTGTGTGGCAGATGAGGAAACTGTGACCTCAAATCAGGGTCATGCCAGGTGCTCTCTCTGCTTGGGCAAATGGAACTGGACTCTTTCCCCACTGAGCCCGTCTCCTCAGTCTGGGACCCCTCTCCCAGAGCTCTGTGAATAGCATGACTTATTGTCAAAAGGAGGATTTGGAGGTTCAGAGAGGTAAAGTGACTTGCCTGAGGTCACGCAGCCCTGAAGGGACTTGGAGGGTTCCTTCTAAAAATCAGAGAAGAGGCAGATTGGGCCAGTTTTCCTCCCACTTCTGAAGGGAGGACCAGACACGCCCGGGACCCTGAAGGAGCAATGAGCCACCGTGAGCCCTTGCGGTCCCTTCAGCCAGCGTTCATTCCTCCAGCACGGAGTTGAGCCCTTCTGCAGTGCCAGGCAAATGGTTGTCTCATGCTCACAGCAGCCTCGCGGGGTAGTGGTCCCGGCCCCATTTCACCAAAGAGGAAGCTCAGGAGCCAGGGGACTTGCCCAAGGTCATCCAGTGCATGGATTTGAACCCAGGGCTTCCTGGGCATGCCAGGCCTGCCCCGCCTCATCTGGGCTGAGCCCTTCTCTACTTCCACAGACCCTTGATCAGCCCTCCAGCCCTCCCCACAGTTCCTCACTGGGCAGCGTGAAGACAGGGAGACTTCTCCTCTACCCCCAACTGCTGTCACCCACTAGCTGTGTGGCTTTGGTGAGTCAGTTTAACCTCTCTGTGCCTCAGTTTCCCCATCTGAAAAATGAGCCTAGTGGTAGAACCCACTCCATGGGCTTGTTGCAAGGATGAAGTCTTGTGTCCAACGCCCTCAGCAATGCCAGCACACAGTAAGTGCTCGGTGCGTGTTATTTTATTGCAATTTGTATTAACCTGGGGAAGAAGGGAAAGACCACCCCGTTATCCAGATGGGAAAATGGAGAGAAAGGAAATAGCATCCGCCAGGTCACAATGTGATGTCACAGCCAGAAGTCTCCTGGGGCGCATTCTGCTTTCCAGATGGGGAAACTGAGGCCTAGAACCTGAGAAGGGACTCAATCAAGGTCCTAATTTCTTGCCTTTAGTTTGGGTTGAAGCCTCCTTGTCCACCTGCTTGCCCTGGGACTATGGGTCAGTTGCTTCCCCTCGCTGAGGCTCAGTTTCTTTATCTGGGAAATGAGGGTAACAAGTGTGCACCCGGTGGGGCTGGGGTGGGGACTGGGTACGGTCATCTCCATAAAGCATTTAGTTCAAGGCCTGGCCTGGAGGCAGCACTCAACAGCTGCAGGGACGGACTTCCAGGACTCAATTTTCTCATCTGTGCCATGCTCTGTGCATGTCGTTGGGGAGACAGTTCCATCTTATCCCGCCAGTGTGTCTCCTCAGTCTCTTAGAAGCCACCCTAGGCAGGGGCAGGGGCAGGGGCCGGGGAGGTGAGGTCTGGCTTCTTATTCTGCCTGGGAGGCCAGGGCTGTGCCTTGTGGACTTTGTCCCTGAGTTGTGCCAAGTCCTCAAGGCTGGGCCTGGTTGGGAGACTGCACCAATCCCCACCAGGCCTTCTGGGTGCCCTGTGGTTGCCAGCACCCAGATCCTGCCACATCACTGCGTCTGCCTGCCTTTGCTGCCGCGTGCCCCGGGTGGTGGCTTCTCTTTCTGAGCCTTGGTTTTCCCACCTATGAGAAGGGGTAAGGAGTCTTCCTCACCGGGCTGTTGGGAAGGCTTGATGTGCTCATTCTCCCCATGCCAGGCTTATAGAAAGTGTCACTGTTAATGGGTACGGCTGTGAGGACGGGTAGGATCCTGACTGGCAGGAGGGGCGAGCAGCATCCTGGGTAGAGGATACACGTGAGCACAGGCTTGGAGGTGGCACAGTTTGGGGAGCACCCTGTAGCCAGGTGGGTGAAGTGGGAGAGGACCCCATAATGTGGGGATTTGGACTGGCGCTGGGTGAAGTGGGCAGGATCTCAGCGCCAACTGTGGTGATTTTGGGTGATGCTGACTCCCCTGCCCTCTAAACTTTAGATTTGTGTTTGAAGCCTCGGGAGCAGCCTCCTGCCCTCCCCACCCCCACCCCGCCAGGTGTTCCCGAAGGCCCCGGAACCAGATGAGACATAGTTCTATTTGGGGACAATACTGCTGTTCCCGTTTCTCTCCTGTGCCCTAGTTTTAGAAACGGAGTGGGTTTGGTTACCAGTTGGCCATTTGCAGCGAGCTCCCCCCTCCGCCCACTCCACCCATACCTTAGAGCTGTGGGCATCGCGGGCAAAATAGGACTCAGTGCTGCCACTGGGAGTGGCTCCTGGGCTCTGCCCCTGGGTTCTCTGGGTAGGGAGTTGGCAGCTGGACTCTCTGTTATCCACCGGTGATATCTGGGCCTTGTGATGGGTGCTGGGAACCCTGAGGATGTACTTGGGACATAGCTTATATTCTGGGGGAGCCAGAGAGACTCCAGTCATTTCCCTATGGCACGATGGGGTAGGGGCCATATGAACTATGGCAACCCAGCACAATGCCAGGAGAGCTTCCCGGAGGAGGTGATACCTGGCCTGGATCTTAAAGGATGAGCAGGAGCTCATGAGAAAAAAAAGAAGGGTGAGGGTGGGCCGGGAAGAAGGGACCGTGTGCAAAAATGTCTGGGGGTAGGAAGTAGCCAGGCGGTGTGGATAGCCATGGAGGTGGGGAGCAGCAGGCCAGGTACAAGGGGGTTAGAAGGTGGCTTGGCTGATCAGGCAGAGCCTCAAACCCTCACAGGGCACTCAGGCTTGGGCCTGGGGGTGATGAGAGCAGAGCAGGTTGAGGCCAGACTCTTGCTGCAGGTGTGGAGGACAGAGAAGGATCAGACCGGCCTCAGAGGCTCAATTACTTTTGCCAAGTAAAGGCAGCCCACAGGGTTCAAGACAGGGATCTAAAACCTCTCCCTGGGGCAAAAGGTAGGGGCTGACCTGGGGCCTTGGAGGGAGTGGGTCAGGGAAGACTTCCTGGGGGAGGAGGTACCCTGACTTACCGGAAGGATGGGAGGGACCTCTGAGGGGAGATAGAGCTTGACAAAGGGCCTGAAGGTGCCCTGTGAGCAGCTCCTCTTGGAGGTCTGAGGAGCCATGGAGTCTTGACTTGGGTCAGTTGGCTGGTGCCAATGGGTAGAGGGCCTGGGGGCCTGCTCCTCGGGCAGTGAGGAAGGGCTACTGGATGAGAGTAATGTATCCCACATTCTGGGTAGTGTCTGGGTCAGGGTCAGTGTGGCTTCAGTGAGGTGGCCCTGGTGGCCGCACTGAGAACAGATGGGCCTGGAGAGAAGCAGGCACTGGCAGGGGAAATGGCCAGGTCTGGGATGGACAGGGGAGTGGTGGGGGGCAGGGTGGGGAGCTTCTGCCCCTGGGTCCTTCTGCCTGTCCATCCTTTCCTCGAAGACGCCTGCCTGGCAGGAAGTGGTGGAGACGTGTTGCAGCCCAACTGGCAGATTCCCAAGGCGCCTGGGGCATTGGGCAAGGGCTCTGGGGTTAGGGCCCGGCCTCCCTTCCTTTTTGGGTAAACCTCACCAGGGCAAAGCTCCCCGACGTGGGTGAAGGGCTAGGCCTGATTGCCTCCATAAAGACCCCCTCTGCCCTCTTGAACCTGGAGGGTCTGGACTCTAGACAGGGGGAGTTGAGAGCCGTGGCTGTTGGCACTGGTGCCAGATGGGCCTGGATTAGAATCCAGGCTTTGTTACCTGCTGGCTGGCAGACCTTGGCCTTTGAGAGCCTCAGTTTCCCCATCCGCAAAAATGGGGGTCACACTAGAGCTTCCCTCCTACGGCTCCTGAGAGAGTGAAATGATATTGTGAAGAGCTGTGCCAGCACTCTGCCCGCCTCGTGGGTCTGTGTCTAGAGCTGTTGCCCCAGCCGGCTCGGGGACTGAGACTTGCTGGGCTGTGGGGGGCGGCTTCCGGTCTACCCTGGGCTCTCAGCACAGAGGACAAAGCCCCTTTGTGGAGGGCGGATGGAGCTTGAGAGCCCCTGTCCTTGGGGAGCAGGGGACTGCTTGCCCCTTCTCTTCACTCAGTTCCCCTGGGGAGAAGGAGCTTCCTCAGACACAGAGGGTGGGAAACGAAAGTCGGGCTGTGCAGGAGGACAGGCTGGGCTGGCTACAGCTGCCCTGGCCAACATCTGGCTGTGAGCTCGGATGGGCCCTTCTCTTCTCTGGGCCACCTTCTCAGGCAAGTCCCAGGCCTACTGTGGGTGCCCTGCTTGCTCTTCCATCCATCCATCCATCCATCCATCCATGATCAGGTACTCACTCCATGCTAGGCTGTGTGCCTTTGGCCAGTGTCTGTTCTGACCCACTGGTACCCAAGCATCCCAGCTGTTCATTGTTTTGAATATTACACCTGCTGCAGAGTATTAAATTATAGGGAAGACAGAAGTGGCCCCCGTCCCCGTGAGACAGGTTCTCACACAGTGAGTTATGTCATCAGAGCTGTGGTCGGTCCATGCTAGGAAGCAGAAGTTGAAGATCCTCACTTGGACTGGGGTTTGAGGGAGGCTTTCTGTGAGGAAGTGGCTTTGGAGCTGAGACTTGGAGAGCAGAGTTGGCTGGGTGTATCAAGAAACAGGTGGTCGAGCAAGGCCTGTCTGAGCAGATGGCTGAGTCCTGAAGACCTGAAGGAGGCAAGGGAGTGAGGGTGTAGGTGAGGGTGGAGTGTGCTGCCAGTGCAGGAACAGCAGGTGCAAAGGCCCTGAGGCAGGAGTGTGCTGGCTTTTCAGGGAAGGGGCAGGCGGCTGGTGTGGATGGAGTAGAGCGAGGGGAGGGATGGGGTTGGTGGAGGCCACTGAGGGCCTTGGAGGCCCCTGTGACGACTTTGGCCTTTGTGTCAGGAGTGTGGGTTCTGTGGGTGGTATTAAGCAGGAACGAAGGGTTCAAACTGACATTTCAGAAGGGTTCCCTGCTCTGTATTAGCCAGCCTGAGAGGAGGAGGCTGGGCACAGTAACGGTCCCTACCCCACAGTGCTGGCAGGAGGAGCCGATGAGACTGAGTGTGAAGTGCCGAACTGATGTCCTGCATACGCCATGTGTTCAGTAGTTAGTAAGGATTTTGATCGCTGTTGTTTTTGTGGGGAGTAAGGGCATGTGTGTGGGCCCGGGCTCTGGCCGTGGTCACCCCAGAGCTGGGCTTTGGGAAGGGGCTGGAGGGCTGAGTGGCCCCTTTCAGGTAACTCAGCACCTTGGGATTCACAGTCCTGGAATCCATACCCAACACCACTTTCCACACAGGGAAACTGAGTCCAGAAGGGCTCGTGGATTCACTCAAGTCTCCCCAGCACCTTGGGACAGATCAGGGTTTCCGTACCGGGTGGTCTCTGCACAGCCCAGGGCTCACCTCTCCTTGCCCTCTTCAGGCGCCACCCACTTCCAGGCAGTACGCTTCCTTGGAGGGCTTCCAGGCCCTGCACAGGTCCCATTGGGAAGGGATCCAGTCCCCTACAGTGCAGGCCAGGGATTGGGGTCTGATAGAGGCCCCTTTTCTGCCTGGGAGGAAGCAGAAGAGCGGTCAGGGCTGGGACAGTTGTGCTCTCCAGGGCGTGAGTTTGGTAGGAGCTCCGTGGCCCCCCTGCTGGGCTTCTGCCCTTTCTGGGCTGCAGGCCCCGTCCCCAGTGCACCCCTCCATGTCTGCCGGTGTCCGCCCCGGCCTGCCGTCTCCACCCCAGCCCCACTGGCAGAGCCGGTTTGAGTCTACTGTCCCTGAGCATGTTCGCGCCGCGGACACGGGACCAGGCATGTCCTGGCTGCCCTGGCACGCGCACGGCCCCTTGCTCACTCTTCACTCACTCTTTGCTCACTCAGCAAACATCCTCTGGGACCTCAGTTCCTGGCCTGGGCCATGCTGGGTGGGGATCAGGGCCTGGAGTTGTCTCAGACTTGCTTCTGCCCTGTGTAAGCCAGGGTGGGCAGAAGCTCTGCCGCAGAGATGGACCAGGCAGGTGGCAGGAGGGCACAGTGGTGGGGCATAGGCTGTGGGACTGGACAGATCTGGGGCCGAGGGCTGCCACCTCTTATTCCTGTGGGGCCCTAGGTGGGGCCCATCCGTCGGTCTATCCATCCCACAAATATTTTCTGTGCTCAACAATGTTCTAGAGCTGCAGATAGCAAGGAACCAACCAAAGATCCCTGCTTTTGCAAAGCTCACATTCTAGAGGGGGAGACAGAAGAACACAACAAATAAGGAAACTGCACACACAGCCCGTAAGAAGGCGGTAAGGGCCACGAATCCATAATGCAGGGAAGCGGGTGGGCCTGCTGGTGGGCTCGTGGAGGATGGGTCGCAATTAGATGGTGGCCAGGGAAGGCTTCACACCTCAAAGAAGCTCACAACAAAGGAGGGGAGGGAGGAGCCATGCAGCTCCCTGGGGAGGGAACAGCCAGTGGGGAGACCCCGAGGCAGGGGAGAGCCTGGAGTGCTGGTGGAACTGGAGGGGGCCAGGGGAACAGAGTGAGAAAGGGGAAGAACAGGGGAAGAATGGAGAGAGGAGGGCGGATCAGGGAGGGCACCTGAGCCATCTAAAACGCAGGCTTTGGACTTGGAGCGAGATGGGGTCACACGAGGGTCCTGGGTGCACCTGGCTGCTGTGTGAAGAGCAGACTGGGGGCTGAGGGTGGAGGTGGGTGGACCAGTGAGGTGGCTGCTGCCTTAGTCTAGGGGGTGGCGGTTCGCTCAGTCTGGGCGTAGTTATTGGGAGGGTCAAAGGGCCAAGCATTTTTTTTTTCTTTGCATCATTTAAGTTAATCTTGCTTTTCCCACTCTATTCTGGAGGCATGTTCATAGAATGAACCCCATGAACCCATCGCTGAGCCAAGCACCACTACCCATGGCCAGTCCTGCCTCCTCCACACCTGTTCTATCCCATCCTATCTTGTGTCATTTTAGAGCAAATGACAGGCATCTTATTTCACGTGTGAAATATTTCAGTGTGTATCTCTAAAAGACAAGGACTCTTGTGTTTAAAAAGTAGCCATAAAACTAAAGTCCATGTAAAAAATGTGAACAATTTCTTTCTCTTTCTCTCTCTCTCTTTTTTTTTTTTTTTTTTTTGGTGAGACAGGGTCTCACTCTGTCACCCAGGCTGGAGTGCAGTGGTGCAATTACAGCTCACTGCAGCCTCAAGCTCCTGGGCTTGAGCGATCCTTCCACCTCAGCCTCCTGAGTAGCTGGGACTACAGGCGCATACCACCCCACCTGGCTAGTTTTTAAAATTTTTAATTTGTAGTGATGAGGTCTCTCTATGTTACCAAGACTGGTCATTCCTGAGTCAATTCCTGACTCAAGTGATCCTCCTGCCTCTGCCTCCCAAAGTGCTGGATTACAGGCGTGAGCCACCATCTAATGGCCTAACTTCTTAATATCAGCAAAAATCCCCTCCTCTCCCAGATATATTTTGATGGTGCAACTGATGTCTCTGGACTTCCCCCTCCTTGCCATAAAGCGAGGTTCATAATAGCCCCCGCTGTCATGCTATTGTGAGATCATTCAAGTAGGATGCCTAGCATAGGCCCGGCACATAGTAGGTGCTCAACAAAGAATAGCTGCTCCTACTCTTTTGACTGATAGCAAACACTTAGGGCACACTTGCTAGGGTCTGGGTCCAGTCCTGTGTGCTTCACAGATATAAACTTATTTAATCCTCACAACAGTCCTTTGAGGTAGATGATGTGTATCACTATTTGACAGGAGAGGCAGTGGAGGCACAGAGAGGTGGAGTAACTTTCCCAAGGTCACACAGCAAGGAAGGGCCAGAGCTAGGTTTTGAATCCTGGTAGTCTAGCTCTTAATCCCTATGTGGTGGAGGCTACATTAGCCCAGAAAAGGGTGGCGGTCCCTCTCTCAGCTTGTGGGGGGGCAGGCAAGGTCAGGTACTGCCTGTGGTCAGGCCGAAAGGGTACACTGTAGTTCATGGTGGGGCAGTGAAAGGGGAGGTGGGTGGTGGAGCTTAGGGGGGGAAGAATATGTGCAAAGGCTTGGAAGCTAGAGGGTAGTTACGAGTTTAAGGGAGGGTCAAGGGATGGGAGCTTGCGGCAGGCCCCCTCCATCCAAGTTTGGCCTTGGTCCTGTGATCACCAGGCTGGAGTGTCGATCGTTTTTATCATCTTACGATCACCCGTCCCCAGCCTGTCTCGGATGCCCTCTCCTCCCTCTGATACCTGCCAGAGACCCATTTCATGGATGAGTAAAGGCAGGCTGACCTTCCTGTGACCACACAGCCAGGGGCAGGCCACCTGCAGGCTTGAACGGGGCCAGGGGGTGGGTTTGGGGCTCAGGCTGGGCCGTGTGGAGGGCCCTGGCCACTAGGCGCTCCTGCCCACCAGTGTCCCTGGAGGGAGATACTGCATGGGTGTGGGCGGGGAGGAGGGGGCACTGTGTGTTCCCAAAGCAGCTGGCAGGGAACAGTGGGTGCCATGGGCAGGGGCCGGCTGGCGGCCATCTCCACAAGGCACATCAGCCATCACCCATCAGGGGTGGGGCAGCTGGGGGCTCTCGGAAAGATGACCTACGGCTGGGAGAGAGCAAAACTTGCCACCTCAGTGTTCTCTGTGATCCTCTCCTGACACTGAGCAGGGGCAGGGCAGGAGTGCTGCTGAGGGCCTCTGTGTGCAGGTAGAGATGCCGGGGTCTCTGTGTGCAGGTAGAGATGTAGAGATGCCGGGGTCTCTGTGTGCAGGTAGAGATGTAGAGATGCCGGGGTCTCTGTGTGCAGGTAGAGATGCCGGGGTCTCTGTGTGCAGGTAGAGATGCCGGGGTCTCTGTGTGCAGGTAGAGATGTAGAGATGCTGGGGTCTCTGTGTGCAGGTAGAGATGCTGGGGTCTCTGTGTGCAGGCAGAGATGCTGAAGCCCAGGTTAGCTCTTATTTATGTCTTTATTTATTTTTTTGAGACAAGGTCTCACTCTGTTGCCCAGGCTGGAGTGCAGTGGTGTAATCATAGCTCACTGCAGCCTCAAACTCCTGGGTGCAAGCAATCCTCCCACCTCGGCTTCCTGAGTAGCTGGAACTCTTGGGCACCACCATGACCGGTTACATTTTTTTTCTATTTTTTTTTTGTAGCGATGGGGGTCTCACTTTGTTGCCCAGGCTGGTCTCAAACTCTTGGCCTCAAGCGATCCTCCCATCTTGGCCTCCTGAGTCACTGGGATTACAGGTGCAAGCCACTGCTCCTGGCCGCACAGTGATTCTCATGGAAGCCTTCCATTCAGCCACGTGGTGGTTAGCCCTCAGCAGGCTGGGCCCCAAGGTTCTGTCTCCTCTTCCAGTTTCTCCTCAGCTCAGTGCTCTGGGGCCTGGTGCCCCAAGAATCTTATCCTCAGTGCCATTGCCCCCAGCCCACACCCTCATTCCAGGGCAGGCCTTGGTCTTGCTGTGTGACCAAGGCCCGGCAGCCCCCTTCTCTGAGCCTTAGCCTCCTCAGCTGCCAAGGAGAAGGGCCCACGAAAGCTCCTGGGGGTTGAGGCTGTGACCCCCTGGCCTTGTGAGCTGCCCTACCCACCCCGTTACGGGGCGGCCTGGTGACAGACTCTGGGATGGTTCCTGGGGTGGGGTGGGGGGGTCTGCGAAGCCTCCTAACCCCTCCAACTCACCAGTCCCTAGATGCTGTCTCCTTCTCAGTGACCTCACTCCAGGGTGTGGGGGCTCGGAGGAGGGAGAGATGGTGGGAAGTGGGTATAGGGAAGAGAGCGCCACCCTGGTGTGCCAGTCTTTCCCCCATTTTGCCGCTGAGGAAACTGAGGCTGCAGGACTGAAATTGACATAGCTCCCTCGCCTTTCTCTAAGCGGTCCCAGCTGCAGGCCCTGTCAAAGCCATCCCACCTGCCTGGATCACACTCCCCACCCTCTCTTCACAAACCGCCTAGCCTTTGGGCCTCAGCTGAGATACCCCCTCCTCTGGGAAGGCCACCATGGTTTAGGTGTCTCCTCTTGCCCCTCTGGCCCTTTGGAGCTGGAGATGACGGTCCCTGACAAGACACTGTGGGAAGGGCCACTGTTCTCTGACCGCCGGCTCCCAGGGGCCTGAGAAAAGCTTCCTGGCCCTGCTCTCAGTTTTGCAGGCCTTCGTGACTTGCATTGAACATATCCCTCTCAGGGTCTTCCCCGGGCCCCCTCGTGCCTAGGCCAAGGGCCAGCAGTGACCCAGTTATACCGGAACACACTCTGGCCAGACCTCGCTCTGAACAAGGCCCTGCCCACCTGGCACCCTGGTCCGCCTGCGCCTCTGCACCCAGGCTCCCTCCTGGGTCGCCCTTGCTGTGCTCCTCACAGGGGAGGTGGGGTAGGATGGGCTCTGGTGTCCCTCGGATCTGGCTGGTATCCTGGCTGTCTGCCTTCTGGCTGGGGCAGCCTCCTGGGGCCCCTGTGGCCTTGTATGTAAAACGAGTGTGGCCACAGCTTGCTACAGGGCTGCTGGGAACATTGGAGGGGAGCGTGAACCCCGGGCGGGAGGATGTGAAGGGGAGAAGTGTGGGTTTCTGCACCCCCATCAGCACACCCCATTCCACCCCCGCCTGGACCAGAGCAGCTGGTGACATTGGGTTTTGCCAAGAGGAGCCCAGGCTCCTTCCTTGGGCGGTTCCCAGGGGCTCTGGGTGGCCGTCCCGGTTAGGGAGACATGCAGAGCGTTAGGGATTGTCACTCGGCTGCTAAGAGTTGGGATCTCAGGCACGCCATTTAACCTGTCTGTGCTTCAGTTTCCTCATCTGTGCGATGGTGTGATGAGCGTGGTGCATGGCAGGTGCCTGACAAGTCCTTCGGCTCTCCCATCAGGGAGAGGATGGCTGCTAATGGGCCAAGTCCCTGCCCACCGCCTTCCCCCTCCATCCCCGCACAGGCCTGATACTACACCCACCACTGCTCTTCCCTGCCCCGCCTCCCACCTCTCCCCTGCCATTGGGGTACTGTTATCAGGAGGCATTCCAGGACTGGCTGAGAACAGCTTCCACCCTGGGCCCTTCTGAGAGGATGCGATCACTGATAGATGCCCTGCCGGGGCCTCCTTTGAGGAATGGGCTCTGGGGTACGAGACGGTGGAACCCAGATAGTCTGGGTTTGCCTCCTGGTGCTGTGTCTTATGAGCTGTGTGACATCAGGCAAGCAGCCCCGCCTCTCTGTGCTTCAGTTTCCTCATCTGCAAATCAGAGCCCACCACAGAGGGTTGGGGTGGTTCACTGAGCTCGTAAGCATGGTGCCCGCCACCCAGGAGCACCGTGATGGTGACGCCGTAGCTGTTGTTATCCTCTGAGGACCAACTGTCCCTCCTCCTTGTGGGGCCCCTGGTTTATTTGGCCTCTGTGTCCACCCCGTGATGAGGGCGTGGCAGGAGGACCCCTCTGGACTTTCTCTTCTCCAGGTCTAGGGGACAAGGAGAGGGTGGAGCTGAGAGAGGCTATGTTCAGAAATTGGGAACCTGCTGTGTGATCTTGGATGGCCCCTCTCCCTTTCTGAGCCTCCATTTCCTGGCCTGCTCTATGAGCACGTGGACCTGGCCCCTCGTTATCCTTGTCACGATACTTTCAGTAGTTCCTCCCTCGGCCAGCCCAGCCACATGGCTTTTGACTGTTTTTCCCACTACGGCATCTGGGGCGCAGTAGGTGCTCAGCTAAATCTTGTTGGAGAAGCCCAGGAGTGCACCACTGAGTGGCTGTCCCGGGCTTTCCCACTCCCGGCCTCTTGCTTGTGTAGCCCCCTTTGCCAAGAATGTGGCCCCCATTCATCTCTACTTGTGGAAATCCTTGTCCTCGAAGCCCTTCGCAAATGCTGCCTCCCCTAGGAAGCCTTTCCCAGTTTCTCCCAGCCAGAGGAGATGCTGGTCCTTGGAACACTTGCTCTGAGGCTCTCTGGTGGTCCCTGTTACAGTGCACTGCCGTGTCCATAGTAACAGATGAATGGCAAACAGGGACTGTGCACTTGCTAGGAGCCAGGCACAGGGGGAGGCCCTGAGCTTGTGCTGTCTTATTTCATCTTCCACACCAACCTCACAAGGTGGATATTAATCCTATTGTCCCTCCCTTTACAGAACAGAGAACAGAAGCTCAGAGAAGTGAAGCAACTTGCCCAGCTATGAGAGACAGAGCCAGGATTTGAAACCAGGTAAGCCTGTGTTTTTTCTTAAAAAGGAAAGAAAAGACATCAACACACACACACACACACACACACACACACACACACACACACACACACACACGACAGGGAAAAGTAAGCCTCTCTCACACCCAGGTCTCCTTGCCAGAGGCAACCACTTGAAAAAATTTCTGGTGTATCCTTCCAGGGAGATCCAAGCATATATAAGCATGTATATTAACAATTTTTTTAGCATAATGTGAATTTCAATAATGATGGGAATGCCAGGTGTTGATATTTTTAGCTTCTGCACTTGACTCAATATTACATATTTGCAAAGAATTTTTTTTTTTTCTTAGACAGGGTCTTACTCTGTTGCCCAGGCTGTAGTGCAGTGTCACAATCATGCTCACCGTAGCTTCGAAATCCTGGGCTCAAACGATCCTCCCACCTCAGTGTCCCAAGGAGCTGGGACTGCAGGCACATGCACCACACCCAGCCAGTTATTTATTTTTTTGTAGAGACAGAGTCTCACTATGTTGCCTAGGCTAGTCTCGAATGCCTGTGCTCAAGCAATCCTCCTGTCTTGGCCTCCCAAAGTACTGGGATTATAGGTATGAGCCATCATCCCTGGCCAGAATTTTTTTTTTTTTTAGACAAATGATAGCACACACTCTACCCTGTCCAACACACACAATTGACTTTTTTCTCTTGACAGTGTACCTCAGAGATCATTTATTTGTGCTGCACTTTTCTTGTTCATGGTTGCGTAGTATTCCACTGCATGTATGGTAGTCACACTTTATTTAATTAAGGACAGATATTTTGGTTGTTTCCAGGCTTTTGCTTGTTCTAGACAATTCCACAAATGAATATCCTCAATCATATGCCTTGTGTTTGTGTGTTCTTTTAGGATCAATTCCACCTTGCAGGGCCGGTGGGTGTGTAATTGTGATAGGTATTGCCAAATTGTCTTTCAGAGAGATTGTGCTGGTGTCACCACGCCCTCTGTTCTCCTCACTCTCACCAGCATAAATTGCATAAGTGCAATTTGCCAATCTGATAGGTGAACAGTGGCCCCCAGTGTAGTTTATTTGAAAAATGTGTATCACAGCTTTACTGAGATAAAATTCCCATACCATACAATTTATCTATTTAAAGTATACAATTCAGTGGTTTTTAGTAGAGTCACGGAATTGTACAATCGTCACCACAGTCAAATTTAGAACATTTTCATTACTCCAGAAAGAAACTTCACCCATTACAGTCACTCCCCACTTCCCCCTAAACTTCCCTTCCCTAGGCCTAGGCAGCAACTAATCTAGTTTCTGTTTCTATAGATTTGCCTATTCTGGACATTTAATAGAAATGGAATCATTCAAGTGTGCTCTTTTGTGGCTGGCTTCTTTCACTTAGCATAATGTTTTCAAGATTCACTCATGTTGTAGCATGGATCAATATTTCATTTTTTTTTCTTGCCAAATAATATTCTATCATATGGATATACCATATTTTATTTATCCATTCATCAGTTGATGGACATTTGGGCTTTCTGGCTATTATGGGTAATGCTGTTCTGGACATTCATGCACAAGTTTTTGTATAGACATATGTTTTTCATTTCTTTCGAGTGTGTACCTAGGAGTAGAATTGCTAGATCATATGGTAATTCCGTGTTTAACTTTTTGAGGAACTGCCAGACTGTTTTGCAAAGCAGCTGCACCATTTTACATTCCCATCAGCAATGTCTGAGGGTTCCAATTTCTCCACATTCTTGCCAACATTTGTCTTTTAGATTCTAGCCATCCATCCTAGTGTCTGTGAAGTGGCATCTCATTGTGGTTTTGATTTTTTTTTTTTTTTTTTTTGAGACAGGGTCTCACTCTGTTGCCAAGGCTAACTGCAACCTCAAACTCTTGGGCTCTAACAATCCTCTCATCTCAGCCTCCCAAGCAGCTGGGACCAAAAGTGTGTGCCACCACGCCTGGCTAATTTTTTTTTTTTTTTAAATTTGTGGAGATGGGGTCTCACCGTGTTGCCCAGGCTGGTCTCGAACTCCTGGGCTCAAGTGATCCTCGCACCTCAGCCTCCCAAAGTGCTGGGATTACAGGCATGTGCCATTGTACTTGGCTGTTTTGATTTGTATTTCCCTAATTACTAGTGACATTAAGCATCTTTTCATGTGCTTATTGGCAATTTGTATATCTTCTTTGGAGGAATGTCTATTCAAGTTCTTTGCCTATTTTTATGATTAATGTAATCTATTTTTTTCCTTAGAGACAGGGTCTCACTATGTTGCCCAGGCTAGTCTTAAAGTCCTGGCCTCAAGTGATCACCCTGCCTCAGCCTCCCAAGTACCTAGGACTATAAGTGCATGCCACCATGCCTGACTTAATTTTTTTTTTTTTAATTTTGTAGAGATAGGATCTTACTCTGCCACCCAGGCTGGAGAGCAATGCTGTGATCATAGCTGACTGTAACCTCAAATTCCTGGGCTCAAGCAATCCTCCCATCTCAGCCTCCTGAGTAGCTAGGACCACAGGCATGCAACACCACGCCTGGCTAATTTTTAAAAAAGTTTTAGTAGGGGTCTCACTATGTTTCCCAGGCCGGTCTCAAGCTCCTGGCCTCAAGAGATCCTCCTGTCTTGGCTTCCAAAGCACTGGGATTACATGCATGAGCCACTGTAAGAGATTTTTATATATTGTAGATACAAGTCTCTTGTCAGATATATGATTTGCAAATATTTTCTCCTATTCTGTGGGTTGTACTTTTATTTTCTTGATGTTGTTCTTTGGAAAACAGAAGTTTTTAATTGTGATGAAGTGCAGTTTATTTTTCCTTTTGTTGCTTGTGCTCTAGGTGTTGTATTTAAGAAATCATAATCTGGCCAGGTGCGGTGGCTCACACCTGTAATCCCAGCACTTTGGGAGGCCGAGGCGGGTGGATCACCTGAGGTCAGGAGTTAGAGACCAGCCTGGCCAACATGGTGAAACCCCGTCTCTACTAAAAATACAAAAATTAGCCAGGCGCACTGGCGGGCACCTGTGATCCCAGCTACTCAGGAGGATGAGGCAGGACAATCACTTGAATTCGGGAGGCGGAGGTTGCAGTGAGCTGAGATCGCACCATTTTACTTCAGCCTGGGCAACAGAGTGAGACTCCGTCTCAAAACAAACAGACAAATAAACAAACAAACACAAATAAACCAACCAAACAAACAAAAAAAGAAATCATAATCCAAGGTCATAACATTTATGCCTATATTTTCTTTTTTTTTTTTTTTTTTTTTTTTTGTTTTTTTTTTTTTTGTTTTTTTTTTTGAGACGGAGTCTCGCTCTGTCGCCCAGGCTGGAGTGCAGTGGCGGGATCTCGGCTCACTGCAAGCTCCGCCTCCCGGGTTCACGCCATTCTCCTGCCTCAGCCTCCCAAGTAGCTGGGACTACAGGCGCCCGCCACTACGCCCGGCTATTTTTTGTAGTTTTAGTAGAGACGGGGTTTCACCGTTTTAGCCGGGATGGTCTCGATCTCCTGACCTCGTGATCCGCCCGCCTCGGCCTCCCAAAGTGC
The DNA here is from genome assembly GCF_000001405.40 of Homo sapiens. Classification (NCBI taxonomy): domain Eukaryota; kingdom Metazoa; phylum Chordata; class Mammalia; order Primates; family Hominidae; genus Homo; species Homo sapiens. Next base: position 278,320 of record NW_025791812.1, read on the forward strand.
TGGGATTACAGGCGTGAGCCACCGCGCCCGGCTATGCCTATATTTTCTTATGAGAGTTTTTTATTTTTACCTCTTTCATTTAGGTTTGTGATCCAATTTGTGTTGATTTTTATGCAGGATTTGAGGAAGGTGTCCAGCTTCTTCTCCCTTGAATTGTCTTGGCACCCTTGCATAAAATCAATTGACTGTCAATGTGATTGTTTCCTTTTGGACTCTGAATTCCCCTCCACTGGTTTATAAGTCTACACTTATACCAGTACCATGCTGTTACTGTTGTTTTACAGTTTTGAAATTGAAAAGTGTGAGTCCTCAAACTTTGTTTTTCTTAAAGACTGTTTGGCTATTCTGGGTCCCATGACTTTCCATATGAATTTTAAGATCAGTTTGTCAATTTTGGCAAAGAAACTAGCTGGGACTTTGATAGGGAGCAGACCAATTGGGGAGTATTGCCATCTTAATAATATTTAGGCTTCTGAGCCATGAACACGGGATGTCTTTCCATTTCTTTCAAAATTTTTTTGTAGTTTTCGGAGTATAAGTTTTATACTTTCATTAATCTTTTTCCTAAGTATTCTTTTGATGCTATCATAAATTTCCTTCTTAATTTTATTTTTGGATTCTTCATTGCCAACCTATAGAAATACAATGTATTTTTGTGTATTGATTTTGTACTTTACAGCCTTGCTGAACTCATTTATTAGTTCTACTGATTTTTTGGTGGAATTCTTAGGATTTTCTATATATAAGATCATATTATCTGCAAAAAAAGAGAGTTTTCCTTCTTCCTTTCTAATCTGGATGCCTTATGTTTCATTTTCGTTCCTAATTGTCCGGGCTAGAAGCTCCAGTACAATCTTGAATAGAAGTGGTGAGGGTAGATATTCTTTTCATTTCTGATCTTGGGGGGATGGCACGCAGTCTTTTACCGTTAAGTAGGATGTTAGCTCTGGGGTTTTCTTTTTCTTTTTTCTTTTCTTTCTTTTCTTTTTCTTTTTTTTTAAGATGGGAGTCTCACTCTGTCACCCAGGCTGGAGTGCAGTGGTGCGATCTTGGCTAACTGAAACCTTTGCCTCCTGGGTTCAAGCGATTCTCCTGCCTCGGCCTCCTGAGTAGCTGGAATTACTGGCATCTGCCACCACACCCAGCTAATTTTTGTATTTTTAGTAGAGATGAGATTTTACCATGTTGGCCACACTGGTCTCTAACTCCTGACCTCAGGTGATCCACCCGGCTCGGCCTCCCAGAGTGCTGGGATTGCAGGTGTGAGCCACCACACCCGGCCTAGCCGTGAGGTTTTCATTGCTGCTTTTTATCTGGGTGAGGAGGTTCCCTTCTATCGTTTTTGTCATGAAGGAGTGTTGAATTTTGTCAAATGCTTTTTTCTACATGTATTAGAATTATTACCTGGTTCTTGACCTTTATTATATTGGTATAGTGTATCACATTAATCGATTTTCAGAAGTTAAACCAACTTTGGCTGGGCTTGGTACCTCACGCCTGTAATCCCAGCACTTTGGGAGACCAAGGCGGGAGGATTGCCTGAGGTCAGGAGTTCGAAACCAGCCTGGCCAACATGGCGAAACCTTGTTTCTACTAAAAATACAAAAATTAGCCGGCTGTGCTGGCAGGCACCTGTAATCCCAGCTACTTGGGAGGCTGAGGAACAAGAATCGCTTGAACCCAGGAGGTGGAGGTTGCAGTGAGCCGAGATCGTGCCACTGCACTCCAGCCTGGGTGACAGAGAAAGACTCCGTCTCAAAAAAAAAGTTAAACCGACTTTATATTCCTGACATCGGTCTTACTTGGTCATGGCATCTAATTCTTTTCATATGTTGCTGGATCCAGTTTTCTAGTATTTTGTAGAAGATTTATATACATGTAATATATATATTCATTTTCATAAAAGTCATTGGTCTGTAATTTTCTTTTCTTGTGATGTCTTTGTGTGGTTATGGTATCGGGGTAATACCGGCTTCAGAAAATGAGTTGGGAAGTGTTTCCTAGAGAAGAACTGGTATAATTTCTTCTTTAAAAATTTGGTAGAATTCACCAGTCCAGCTATCTGGGCCTGGGCTGCTTCTGTGAGAAGATTTAAAATTAATAATTCCATCTCTTTACTTGCTTTAGATTTATTTGAATTTTCTATTTCTTCTTCTTCTTCTTCTTCTTCTTCTTTTTTTTTTTTTTTGAGACGGAGTTTCACTCTTGTTGCCCACGCTGGAGTGCAATGGCGCCATCTCGGCCCACCTCAACCTCCGCCTCTTGGGTTCAAGCAATTCTCCTGCTTCAGCCTCCTGAGTAGCTGGGATTACAGGCATGTGCCACCACGCCCGGCTAATTTTTTATTTTTAGTAGAGGCAGGGTTTCACCATTTACGTGTGGCCCAGGCTGGTCTTGAACTCCTGAACTCAGGTGATCTGCCTGCCTTGGCCTCCCAAAGTGCTGGGATTACAGGCGTGAGCCACCGTGCCCAGCCTATTTCTTCTTATTTTTGATAATTTGTGTTTTTTTCCTAGGAATTTCATCTAAGTTATCTAGTTTGTTGACATAGAATTATTCATAGTAGTCTCTTATAATCTTTGTTTCTTTAAGGTTAGTAATAATGTCTTCCCTTTCATTCCTGAGTTTAGTAATTTGAGTCTTCTCTTTTTTTCTTGTTCAGTGTAGCTAAAGGTTTGTCAATCTTGTTGATCTTTTCAAAGAATCACCTCTTGGTTTTGTTGATTTTCTCTATTGCTTTTTATTTTTTATTTCATTAATTTCTGCTCTAATTTTTATTCTTTCCTTCCTTGTATAGCTTTAGGTTTAGTTTGCTCTTCTTTTCACAGTGTCTTAAGGTAGAAGTTTAGGTTATTGATTTGAAATCTTTCTTATTTTTATTTTTATTTATTTACTTATTTTGAGATGGAGTTTCACTCTTGTTGCCCAGGCTAGAGTGCAATGGTGTGATCTCAGCTCACTGCAACCTCCACCTCCCAGGTTCAAGCAATTCTCTTGCCTCAGCCTCCCAAGTAGCTGGGATTACAAGGCACCTGCCACCACGCCTGGCTGATTTTTGTATTTTTAGTAGAGATGGGGTTTCACCATGTTGGCCAGGCTGGTCTTGAACTCCTGACCTCCAATCCGCCCCCCCTTGGTCTCCCAAAGTGCTAGGATTACAAGTGTGAGCCACTACACCTGGCCTATTTCTATTTTTTGAGAGAGGGTCTCGCTCTGTTGCCCAGGCTGGAGTGTAAGTGGCACGATCATGGCTCATTGCAGCTCTGAACTCCGGGGCTTGAGCAGTCCTCCTGCCTCAGCCTCCCGAGTAGCTGGGACTACCGGCAGGTGCCACCATGCCTGACGATTTTTCGTGTGTGTGTGTGTGTTTTTTAGAGATGGGGATTTCACCATCTCCTGAGCTCAAGCAATCCACCTGTCTCAGCCTCCCAGAGTGCTAGGATTACAGGCGTGAGCCACCACATCTAGACGGTTTCCTTTTTTTAAAATATAGGATTTTACAGCTAGAAATTTCCCTTTAAGTTCTCTTTTACCACATCCATATATTTGGATATGTTGTATCTTCATTTTCTTTCATCTCAAAGTATTTTCTAAGCTTTTTGGTGATTTATTCTTTGACTCACTGGTAATTGAGGAGCGTGTTGTTTAGTTTTCACATATTTTAATTTTCCAAATTTCTTTCTGTTATTGATTTCTTACTTCATTCTATTGTGGTTGGAAACATACTTTGTATGATTTCACTCCTTTTAAATTTATTGAGGCTTGTTTTATGGTGTAGCATATGGTCTATCCTGGAGAATGTTCCATGTGCACTTGAGAAGAACGTGTATCTGCTGTTGTTGGGTGGCTGGTATGGTTTGAATTTGCATTTATCTTATGAGTGAGGTTGAGCATCTTGTCATATGTTTGCGAGCCATTTGTTTGCTTTTTCTGTAAACTATATGTTGTCATTTTTCTTATTTTATGGGAGCTTATTATATACATGCTAAGAAAAAAAAACACCCTTACCTATCATATGAGTTGCAATTATTTTTCTTTGTTTGTCCTTTGAACTTGTTTATGATGTCTATTGAGCCATATCAGATTTTTATGTAGATTGATTTATCATTTAAAAAATGGTTTCTAGGTCTTATGTCATGTTTAGGAATGCTTTCCCCATTCAGAGATATGAAAATTCATTATCTTTTCCCCTTTATGCATATATATACACATATATACACATATACACATATATACATATATACACACATATACACACATATATACATATATAAATACATATACACATATATGTACACACACATATGTACATATATACACATATGTACATATACACACATACACACATATATGTACACACATACACATGTATACATATATGTACATATCTACACACATGTACATACGTACACACATGCACATATGTACACACGCACACACATGTACATACGCACACACACACACACATATTACATATGTACACATGCACACATTACATATGTACACACATACACACATGTACACACACATATGTACATATATACACATACACATATATGTACATTATACACATATATGCGTATATATACGCATATATACGCATATATGCGTGTATATACGCATATATACGCATATATGCATATATACACACACACATACATATATATATTTTTTGTGGATATGAGGTTTCACCATGTTGTTCAGGCTGGTCTCAAACTCCTGGACTCAAACAACCCTCCTGCCTTGGCCCCCAAAGTGTTGGGATTACAGGCGTAAGCCACCACGCCCAGCTCTTCCCCTTTTTAGAGCTTTATTGTTTGAGTATTTTGTGGTTTAAATCTGATTGATTTGTAATTTATTGGCATATATAGTGAGATTGAGATCCAGCTTTGTTTTCTGATGGCAGATTGTTGGTCCTAGCTCCATCTTAAAAATCATCCACCTTTTTCTCACTGGTATAAACTGCCATCTTCATTATATAGTAAATTCCCATATGTTTCAGGACAACTTTTGGACTCTATTCTGTTCCCCTGATGTACTGATGTGCCAATAGCACACAGTTTTAATTACTGTGTCTTTATAGTAAGGTTTACTGTCTGGTTGGGCTGTTTCTCCCTCATTAGTCTTCTTTTTAGGAGTTCTCTGGCTACTCTTATTCATATGTTTTTACTTACAAATTTAGAAATTGACTTGCCTAGTTAAAAAAAACTTGGGTTTTTTTTTAATTGGGATCACATTGAACTTCTAGATTGATTTATGAATAATTTTTTTTTTTTTTTTTAGATAGAGTCTTGCTCTGTTGCCCAGGCTGGAGTGCAGTGGCATTATCTCGGCTCACTGCAACCTCTGCCTCCCAGGTTCAAGCGATTCTTCTGCCTCAGCCTCCCGAGTAGCTAGGACTACAGGTGCCTGCCACCACACACTGCTAATTTTTGTATTTATAGTAGAGACGGGGTTTCACCATATTGGCCAGGCTGGTCTTGAACTCCTGACCTCATGATCTCCCCACCTCGGCCTTCCAAAGTGCTGGGATTACAGGTGTGAGCCACTGCCCCTGGCTGATATTTTAATAATGCTAAGCTTTCTTTCATTTTATTTTCTAATTGCAATTGGTATATATACACATAATTGATTTGGGAATGTTAACTTAATTCCCTGCCACTTTACTTAATTTGCTTTTGGTTTAATAGTTTTGCAGTAGATTCTCTTGGATTTCCCAGACTTATACCTATACCAAATACTATAATAATACTCTTTTTTTTTTTTTTTTTTTTTGAGACAGAGTCTTGCTCTGTTGCCCAGGCTGGAGTACAGTAGCGTAATCTTGGCTCACTGCAACCTCCACCTCCCAGGTTTAAGCGACTCTCATGTCTCAGCCTCCAGAGCAGCTTGGATTACAGGCATGTGCCACCACACCTGGCTTATTTTTGTACTTTTAATACAGATGGGGTTTCGCCATGTTGTCTAGGCTGATCTTGAACTCCTGACCTCAGGTGATCCACCCGCCTCTGCCTCCCAAAATGTTGGGATTACAGGTGTGAGCCACCACACCTGGCCAATAATAATACTCTTACCTTCTCTTTTCTAATTCCATTTATTCTTCAATTTCTTTTTCTATTCTTTTTTTTTTTGAGACAGAGTCTCACTTTGTCACCCAGGCTGGAGTGTAGTGCCATGATCTCCACTCACTGCAACCTCTGCCTCCTGGGTTCAAGTGATTCTCCTGCCTCAGCCTCTCGAGTAGCTGGGATTACAGGTGCCTGCCACCATGCCTGACTAATTTTTGTATTTTTAGTAGAGACGAGGTTTCACCATGTTGGCCAGGCTGATCTCGAACTCCTGACCTCAGGTGATCCACCTGCCTTGGCCTCCCAAAGTGCTGGGATTACAGGCATGAGCCACCGCACCTGGCCTCTTTCCTTTTTTTTTTTTGAGACAGAGTCTCACTCTGTTGCTCAGGCTGGAGTGCAGTGCTGTGATAATGGCTCACTGCAGCCTCAACCTTCCAGACTCAAGTGATTCTCTCACTTCAGCCTCCTGCGTAGCTGGGTCTACAGGTGCACACCATCATGCCTGGCTAATTTCTTTTGTGTATTTTTGGTAGAAATGGGGTTTCACCATGTTGCCCAGGCTAGTCTGAAACTCCTCAGGCTCACGTGATCCTCCTGCCTCTGCCTCACAAGGTATTGGGATTACATGCATGAGCCAACACACCTGGCCAAATTTTTGTGTTTTTTTTTAGAGATGGTGTTTTACCATGTTGCCCTGGAAAGTATGAAACTCACGGGCTCCAGCAGTCCGTCTGCCTCAGCCTCCCAAAGTGCTGGGATTACAGGTGTGAGCCACCACACCCAACCCTCTTTTTCTAAGCTAATTGTATTGGCAAGTATCTTAGAGTGGGGTTAACTGGTGGACATGTATCTTAGTTCATTCAGGCTGCTGTAACAAAATACCATAGACTGGGCAGCTTAAACCATGAACATTTATTTCTCACAGCTCTGAAGGCTGGAGAGTCCAATATCAAGGTGGCAGCAGATTCAGTGTCTGATGAGGACTCTCTTCCTGGTTTGCAAACGGCCACCTTCTTAATGTGTCCTCACATGGCAGAGAGAGACAGGGCTCTGGTTTCCTCCTCTTCTCATAAGGGCACTAATCCCGTCATAAGGACTCCATCCTTATGACTTATGTAAACCTAATCACCTCCCAAGGCCCACCTCCAAACACCACCACACTGGGGATTAGGGCTTCAACATGTGAATCTGGGGTGGGGGATGCACATTCAGTCCATAGTGATATCCTTGTCTTTTCTGGGTTCTTTCCCTGTAAAGGGGCTTTTGTAGGCCTTGGCTCCTAATCAACTCCACCAGACAACACCCCTCAGGACCATGCACAGGGCATGGCACATGTAGTAGGCATTTTGGAGGCTTTTGCCTAACTGTCAAAGTGACTGCAAAAGAGGGCAAGTGTCTGAACAAGGTCTTCCACAGAAATCATAATAATAGCCAATTAGATATTGAGCACTTTCTATGTGCCAGGCACTTTACAAATATGACATCACGCTTCCTCACAATGAACCCCACATTATGTAGGAACAATCACACCAATTCCCATTTCCCAAGGCTGCATGGTTAGGAAGTTGCAAGCTGGCATCTGAACCTGGCATTCTGGCCCCGGGCCACCTGTATATATATATACATATTTTGGAGATGGAGTTTTGCTCTTGTTGCCCAGGCTGGAGTGCAATGGCACAATGTCTGCTCACTGTAACCTCCACCACCCGGGTTCAAGTGATTCTCCTACCTCAGCCTATCAAGTAGCTGGGATTACAGGCATGCGCCACCATGCCCAGCTAATTTTGTATTTCTAGTAGAGATGGGGTTTCACCATGTTGGCCAGGCTGGTCTCTAACTCCTGACCTCAGGTGATCCACCTGCCTCAGCCTCCCAAAGTGCTGGAATTACAGGCATGAGCCATTGTGCCCGGCCCCACCTGTAGTTTTTGACTGCTCTGTGATGCTTCTGCTTCCCTGGAGGGTCTAAGATGTGGGCGATGAGATCATAGGTTGCCCTCTGACCCCTGTGTTGCTTTGGACCATGGGGTCATTGGCACAGTGGGCGGGGTACCAGAGGTAGGTTCTGACACTGCTCTCCTGAACCGTGAGCATCCCAGCTCTGCTGCACTCACTTGCTGTGTGGCCTTGGACAAGGTTTTAGTTTCTCTGAACCTTGATCCCATCTGTAAAGTGGGTGCAGTTACAGTCCCTGCGTCACTGTGCTGTTGGGTCAATTAAGAACCAACTGTGTGTAAAGCGCCCAGCCTTGTGCTTGGCATTCAAGGCCCTGCCACTGCCTCCTCTTATTCCCTGGAATGATAATAACAACAGTAAACAACATTGTGTGCTGTTTGTCATGCACTTATTCTTTTCCTGCCACAAGGACTCTCACTCGTACTTTTCAGTTGTTAGGTTTCTATCCCCATTTTAAAGGGGAGGAAACTCACAGGCAAAGTGACTTGCACAAGAAAATGTAGCTACTAAGAAGTGCAGCCAGGACTCGAACCCAGGTTTGACTGGAGTCCTCACTCTCAGCTCCTAAGCTCCTGGCCTACTCTCCACCCTTAGAAGAGGTGAGATGATGTTCTTCAGAGTCAGGAAGGAAGGGGCTGGTGTGTGGTGGCTGAACAGCAGTGTGACCTGAGCATCTGTGAGCCAGGAGGTGAGAGAGAGTGTGTGGCACCCTGTGGTTGGGTAGATCATTGTGGGAGGATGGGACACGCCGTGGGAGCATGGGACACACCATGGGAGACGGCAGCACCACCAGCTGCAGGGCCATGTGGACCCAGGTGATGGCTTTAGGCCTCATCCACAGGCTTATGATGGGAAGCTCTTGAATATTTTTTAAAAATTGTCACTTTAGAAAATCATGACAAAGTCATTTCTAAATGTCAACTGATACAGGGTGTAAAGTGAAAAAGGGATTTTCCTCTCCCCATCCCACACTTTTGAGATGAAACATTGTGATGAATTTGGAATCCTTCCAGAGCTTTCTTTTTTTAAAGTTTTTTTAATTTTTAATTTTTATGGGCACATAGTAGGTGTATATATTTATGGGGTACATGAGATATCTTGACACAGGCATACATTGTGTAATAATCACATCAGGGTAAGTAGGGTATCCGTCACCTCAGTTATCATTCCTTTGTGTTACAAACAATCCAATTCTACTCTTTTAGTTTTTTTTAAAATTATTATTATTATTTTATTTTTATTTTTTTTGAGACATGGTCTCACTGTGTTGCTCAGGCAGAGTGCATGTGTGTGTGTGCAATTTCCTTTCTTTCTTCTCTTTTTTTTTTTTTTTTTTTGAGACAGGGTCTCGTTCTGTCATCCAGGCTGGAGTGCAGTGGCGCGATGATAGCTCACTGCAGCCTCAAACTCCAGGGCTCAAGTGATCCCCCCACCTCAGCCTTCCAAGTAGCTGGGACTACAGGCTAATTTTTAATCTTCTATAGAGATACAGTCTCACTATGTTGCCCAGGCTCAATCTTCTTTACAGAGATAATAGCAGCTCATGTTTGCTACAGGTCCAGTACCACATTAAGCCCACTGCCTGCATTATCATGTTTGATTGCTCACAACCCTATTATGTGGGTAGCATCGTCCCCATTTTCCAGAGGAGGAAACTGAGGCCCTAATATGCCCAGAGGAGATTCTACCCTGCCGCTGCCTTCTTTTCACTGAAACAGTGTGTTGGGGTCTCTTATCAGGCCACTCTCAGCTCTCATTCTTTGTAATGGCTGCACTGCTGTCCACTTGAGGACTGGAGCCCCTTTATTTAACCAGCCCCTCTCTGAGGAACACGTAGGTTGTTAATGGCTTTCTGTGGAGAGTTTTAAGCGGAGGAGGCCCAGTTGTCTGTGAGGTTTACAGAGCCGCCTCTGGCTGCGGGGGGAGGGTGGACTGGAGGGGCCCACACTGCTGTGTCCAGGCCTAGGATCACAGGGCCCTGGCCTGAAGGACTGGAGATAGACAGGGTGGAGGGGAGGAATGCGCTTGAGGAAGATTCAGGAACTACCCCGGGGCTCCCCAAGGGCAGAGCCCCACACAGGGCTTGGCACGTGGCAGGTGCTCTGCGAATACCTGGAGAATGACTGGGGTGGGATGTGCAGGGGTTGTCGCTGAGTCAGTGATGGGGATGGGGGTGGGGGGGAGATGCAGGCTTAGCGGGAGGTACTAGGCCACTTGGGGACCTGCTGAGCTCAAGGCACTGGGAACGCCGAGGGAAAAGTTCTTATAGCAGCAACTCGGCACCTCTCGAGGGAGCGAGCCATAGTGCAGGCCCCCTGTCTGCTGAGGAGTCCAGAGCCCACGGTGAGGAGTGGCTTCCCGAAGGAAAGGGGCCACCTTTCCCTGGGAACCTCAGGCAGCCCCATTGTGGGGCCCCCACTGCTTCCCCTTGACCCCCGCAAGGGTCTATCTCTACCTTGGAGGCTGCAAGTGGCGGAAGAGATGAGGGGGGTTGGCCCCTCTCCAAGGAGCAACTCATGGTGACTCGGCAGTTGGGCCCCAGAACCAGGAAGTGCAAGGATAGAGCTCTGTGCCAGGGAGGAGGGTGGTCTCTCATGAGGTCCCACGGCATGGAAGCAGCCCTCCGAGACTAACTCCCACCCTCACTGAGTCATCGAGTGAAGAGCCGTGTAGCTTTCGAGACCAGCCCAGCCGACATGGTGGAACCCCGTGTCTACTAAAAATACCAGAATTAGCCGGGAGTGGTGGCACTCACCTGTAATCCCAGCTACTCAGGAGGCTGAGGCAGTAGAATTGCTTGAACCTGGGAGGCGAAGGGTGCAGTGAGCCGAGATCACACCATTGCACTCCAGCCTGGGCGACAGAGGAGACTCTGTCTCAAAAAAAAAAAATAATAATAATAATTAGCCAGGCGTGGTATTCGGTGACTGTAATCCCAGCTACTTGGGAGGCTGAGGCAGGAGAACCGCTGGAACCCGGGAGGCGGAGGTTGCAGTGAGCCGAGATCGCGCCACTGCACTCCAGCCTGGGCAATAGAGTGAGACTCCATTTCAAAAAAAAAAAAAAAAGGAAAAGAAAAAGAACGAGAGAGCTTGGAGTAAAAAAAAAAAAAAAAAAAAAAAAAGGAAAAGAAAAAAGAAAAAGACCGAGAGAGCTTGGAGTGGCCTGAGAAGATGCTCTGAACACACTAACACATAAAGTGAAAAGAGGGAGGCGGCAGTGTAGAATCTCCTCTGGGTATCTCAGGGCCTCAGTTTCCTCATCTGGAAAGTGGGGGCCACAGTGCTACCCGCATGACCCTCAGTGGGCCATTCTTGCTCAAGGACGTTCTGCTCGGAGCTTTCTCAGGCTTTCTCTGGGAGTGGGGTGGGCTGCTTTATCCTCTCACCCCTCTTCCAAGGCCATCTGGCTGCTTTGTGAGAGAGATCCCTGGGGGTAGGAGGTGGGGCCTGTGAGTTTCAGCCCCTGATTCCCACCTGCCCAGTGTGGTGGCCCCTTTTCACTCTCACCCATGCTGTGTGACTTCAGGCAAGTTCTTCAACCTCTCTGTGTCTTAATGTCCTCAACAGTAAGATAAAGACATGATTAGTATTTACCTCCTAGATTATCATGAGGAGCCGATGAGTCAATGTTTGCAAAGTACTTAGAGCAAGGTCCAATTCAAGGTCTGAGCTCTGGGAGTATTTGAATACCACGGAATGATATTTAGTCTTTTCAGTGTGGCATTGCAGGAACAAAGTAGGATGCAAATTATACATCCATGCCCATTTAGTCTTTTGTCTATTCTGCAAATAGTTCCAGAGCACCTAGTGGGTGTCAGGCCCGTCCTGGTCTCTGGGGGCATGGAGATGGATCCTGCCTGGCCCTGACAGCCGCGAGTGCACAGTGGAGGGCACTGGGTGGACCCCAGTTTGTTGACCGTCTTGCGTTGCTGTGACGCTGGAAGGAAACGCACCACCACACCCAGGTGTTTGTCTTCTAGGGGCAGAATTATGGGGCATTTTCTTTTATTTTTTCTTTTCTTTTTTTTTAATCTTCTTGTAGTTCTCAAAGAGTCCACTCTGAATGATAAAAGTTACCATTTACGGAGGCCTGGTAACGTTCCGTGCCATCCTGAGCATGTTCCGTGTACTTTTCTCACGGATTCTCCCAGCAGTCCTGACACGGGTGTTATTCCCGATCGATAGAGAGGAAAACTGAGGCGAAGGGCGGCCGGCCAGGATTCAAACCAGGGAGTCTGCTCCAGCACTCCGGCTCTTAACCTCAACCGTCTGCCTCTCCACAAACACCAGGATCAACCACCAAGACCAAAAAAACAGTCTCACAAACCATCAAACATTGCACTTGGTGGCTCAGGACCTTAGCTTCGTCTTAAAGGTCCCTGTTATGCTTTTTCTGAGTGCCCCAGTGTGGAGTGGTCTTCGTGTTTGTGAGTGCAGGGGTCAGGGGTTGTGTCTTTTCTTCTTGTCCCCTTCCAAGAGGTGACATGTATCCTTGATACTGGAAGGGCCCTTAAGGTCTAGCCCTGGCTCTCTGTCTCCCTTCATGGCACATCAGCCAAGTACCCATTCTCCCGTCTTTGATTACCTCCAGTGACAGGGAGCTCACTCCTCAACATTTATTTTATTCTAAAGAAAATTCAGGCTCTTAGATAGTTCTTCCTCCATAAAAATTTTTTAAAAAAATTTTTACTTCCTCTTAAAGTCTCATAAACAAGTCCCCTGCTTTGGGGTCCTGAGGCAGGACCTGGCTAATTCGTCTCTATGTCCCCCTATAGTGAGGAGCACAGGGCCTGCTAGTAGGTACTATAAATGCTGCACCAGGAAGCAAGTGGCTAGGGGGCGGGCTGGTTGGGCCCCCATCAATCCTTGGGCTGCAGGTAACCAGGTCAGCAGTTCTTGTGGGACACCAGCTGGGTGAGTGCTGATGGGTATCGTGACCTCAATGGAATAGGTTGCCATAGAAACTGACTTTGGACCTGTCCCCAGGTCCATTGACTTGTCCCTCAGGAGACCATGGTAATCCCTTGAGCTCTTCAGCAGGTCTCCCCAGGGCCTCCCCAACCCCACATTCTCTGAGCTGGGTGGTCCCCAGGGAGCATGCAAACCATACCCCCATTGTGCAGCTGGGTAGCCTGAGGCCCCAGGGGCACAGGGGACAGGCTGAAATTCACACAGGCAGGGGGCGTCTCATAGCTGGGCTGGGCGCTCAGGGCAAACAGCCTTGCCCGAGGACCCAGCCAGTCAGGGGGCCTTTTCCCCACTCATGGGTTCTCAGAGGAAATTCTGGACCGATTCCCAGGCCTTCTGCCTCCCCAAAGAATAATCGGAACCTGCCTCCCTGGTGTGTCCAGAATTACACAATATCAATAACGGCTGAGGTGACCTGTGATGCCCCTAGCACCCTACAGTGTCTTGTGCATTTATCACAATGACCCCATCGTTACAGATGAGGAAACGGCACAGAGAGAAGTTAAGTCACATGCCTAAGGTTACACAGCTATTTAGGGGTAGAGCCAGGATCTGGATGTGGAGAGCCCAGCTCCAGAGCCCACTCTCACCACCATGCCATACCCTGTCTCGCTCTTGCTTTGAGAGGGTTGAAAAGACTTTGGGAGGGTTGAAGGATATTTCAGGTCTAGGAGGCTCTTAGCACGGGCCTGCTAGAGCCATAGCCTGATGAACAGTGATCAGAGAGTGGGCGCCATTATGATTTCTCTTTCTAATGACATCCTCAAAACAGTGCTGAGATGTCTGCTTTATCCCTGCTTTGCAGATGAGGACGCTGAGGCCCAGAGAGGGAAAGCCACTTGCCTAGGGACACACAGCGGGGAGAGGTGGAGCAGGGCCTCTATTTCGAGACCCCTGACTCCACACCTGGTGTTTGTGCCAAGACCCCAGGCTGCCTCCCAGGTCCTCTGGGACAGCCCCTGCCTTCTACCAGGTGAGATGATGGCCCTATCAGGGCTCAAGATGGGTGGGGAGATCCCAGCGAATCTGGGTGGGAGCTGGGACCAGCCAGGGCCTGCGGATGGGGAAATGGGAGGCAGAGGGTGGTGGCAGGACTGTGGGCGTCAGGGGGAGTTTTCAACTTGGTTTACTCTGTGTTTCCGTCTCTCTGGACCTCCCAGGTTTCTGGCTCTGAAGTCCCTTAGCTCTTAAATAGTCACTCATTCGTTCAGCTGTTTACTGAGCACCTACTGTGTGCCACACCCCATGCTAGGCACTGGGAGCACAGCAGTGAACAAGATGAACAAAAGCCCACGACAGTAGTCACATAACCACATGAATTCAAACAACAAAAACAAAACAGGACCACATGTTATCAAAGACAGACACAAGTCAGGGGGACCCAGTGAAAGGATTTGGGGAACACTTCCCAAGGAGGGGACTTTTGAGTTGAGAACGGAAGGAGGCACCAGTCACCCTGGTGAAGTGGCCAGGGAACAGCATTTGGGCAGTGGGAATGGTATGTGTGAAGGCCCTGTGGCTGGAGTGAGCTCCCAGCCATCTCTGCTTCAAACCTCCTGCTGTATGGCCTTGGCTGCCACTTTTAGCACCTTTCCCCAGCGTTAGGCAATTCCCGTCAGCCACGTATTCATTCAACAAACCCTCAATGAGCCCCCTCCATGTGCTAGGTGCCCGGGACATAGGCGTGGCTCAGATACTGTCCCTGCCAGGAGGGAGGGAAACAGTGACTCAGGGGGAGGTGGGTGGGTAAGGTCAGGGCTTCTGATTATGAGGCATTTCTTCCGTTCCTGGCGCTGGACCGAGGAAGCCCTTTACGGATGGATGCCATCCTTACGCTCATTTTACAGATGAAGACATCGAGGTTTTGAGAGGCTAACTCTCCCAAAAAGGCTGGTGCCCCTGTCCCCCATTTTTTTCTTTTCTTTCTTTTTTTTTTGAGACAGAGTATTCCTCTGACGCCCAGGCTGGAGTGCAGTGGCAGGATCTGAGCTCACTGCAGCCTCTGCCTCCCCTGTTCAAGCGATTCTCCTGCCTCACCCTCCGGAGTAGCTGGGACTACAGGCGCGTGCCACCATGCCCGGCTAATTTTTTTTTTTTTTTCAAGTAGAGCCCGGGTTTCCGCGTGTTGGCCCGGCAGGTCTCAAACTCCTGATCTCAAGTGATCCGCCCGCTTCGGCCTCCCAAAGTGCTGGGATTACAGGCGTGAGCCACCGCGCCCGGCCCTGCTGCCTCTCCTTGGGCCTCGTTTTCCCTATCTGTGGAATGGGTGGGAGGGAGGCCGGCCAAGGGGCCCCGGCAGCCCTGCCTGTTCCAGTGTCTTCTCTCTCTCCTGCCAGGACCATGGGTAGCAACAAGAGCAAGCCCAAGGATGCCAGCCAGCGGCGCCGCAGCCTGGAGCCCGCCGAGAACGTGCACGGCGCTGGCGGGGGCGCTTTCCCCGCCTCGCAGACCCCCAGCAAGCCAGCCTCGGCCGACGGCCACCGCGGCCCCAGCGCGGCCTTCGCCCCCGCGGCCGCCGAGCCCAAGCTGTTCGGAGGCTTCAACTCCTCGGACACCGTCACCTCCCCGCAGAGGGCGGGCCCGCTGGCCGGTCAGTGCGCGGGCGGCGCGGGGTCCTCGCCCACCTGGGGCCACGGCGGGGAGGCGGCGGGGCTGTGTGCCCGGGGTCGCCCCCTCTGCGCAGGCCCTTCCTCTCGCCAGGGGTAGCGCCCCTGGGTGACTTGGGTGTCCGGGGGGTGGGGGGGCGGCCGTACACACTGTGAAGCGTCCGCGCCGCCGCCGCTGGCTTTGGGGTGGAGCAAGCGCAAAAGACACGGGGTGTGGTTAATGGGTTCTAATTGGACGCTTAAGCCCAAGAAGAAGAAGGGCGGCGCGGGACCGGGCCTGTTGCTGCCTTGGCGCCCAGTCCTTTTTCGTTGCCTGGGTCCGCCCAGAGATGAGTCGGGACGCGCGGCCCACGTGCGGCGGAGGGGCAGCTGGGTCGCTCGGGGAACGGGGCACCGGATGGCCCCGGTTGGGCCCGCGCCAGGATGCGCCCCTGCGCCCTCTGCTGGCGCTCTGCGGTCACCGCAGCCCCGGAGAGGGCCGTTTTGGAGAGCCGCGGCGGTGCCCCAGACACTCCACGCAGACTTCACTCCTTCACTCAGACCCGTTCACTCTCCCCACAGGCACACGCTGGGCCACACACACGGCTACACCCCCGCCAGGGACACGCACACATGCGGGGTGGAGGCAGGGTCACAGACACCCGCAGACACATCCCCAACGCAGATGTACCCAGATACAAACTCACATGCACAGGTGACCTCACACTTGTAGCTGAAGACACACGCACATGCCGTCAGAAGCGCATTCAGAGACACACGCTCAGCTGGAAATCACAATCTCACCATCGTGGCCGCCCAGGAGACAGATACACACAGGTGCATCGAGAACATGAGAACACTCAGAGACACACGGACAGGCGTGGACCCTTCAGACGCAGACGCACGCCCAAGCGAGAGAAACAGACCCACAGACACACCATTCATTTGTTCAATAAGTATATGTGGAGCTCCTACTACAGGCCAGGGCTCCTCTGCTGCCCGGGCCCCAGCGGTGCAGACAGAACCCACCTGGGGGAAGGAAGCAAAGGGCAGCTCGTGGAGGGTGTTAGAAGGGGCGCTGCTGCGAAGGCGCAAAACAGGCAGGGAGGGAGGGCTGGGGGATGTGAGGAGGTGGAGGCTGTAGCTTAAAATGGTGGAAGGGGGTACGGGGGCCTTTCTGAGGGGGCAGTTACTTGGAGCCAAATCTTCCTGGACACCAGGAGCGCCCAGAGTGACACACTTTATAGAGAGAGAGCGAGCCTCCTGGGGGAGTGTTCTTCATTCACCGCTTCCTTCAGCCTATAGCTCTTTCTTGAGCACCTACTATGTGCCTGGCTCTGGAAACAAAACAAAGATGCTGGTTATTGGCGACTTCTGCTCCTAGAGCAAGACAGGCACCAAACAGATAAGCCAGCACCCAGCACTGCCCAAAGCCCCGGGGACGGACGCGGACAGGAAGGGATGCTCCCGCTCCCACACGCCCTTGCAGGGATGCGCAGATACACGGATGCAGTGGACACGTGCACAGGCCCATCTTCACTGAACCTGACTGTGTCTTTGGGCTGAGCACTTGCGTGTGGGAGACAAATCCACTCCTCCTGGGTACAGGGCCATCCTGCCCATGCCTTCCCTGGCTGTGGCCCCACTGTTCTGACACACCCCACCCCTCTCTGCAGGTGGAGTGACCACCTTTGTGGCCCTCTATGACTATGAGTCTAGGACGGAGACAGACCTGTCCTTCAAGAAAGGCGAGCGGCTCCAGATTGTCAACAACACGTGAGTGCCCCCTTCCCTATTGCCCCTCAGGGCTGGGTGGTGGGACTTCAAAGCGGGCAGGGGCTCATGCAGGATCTGGCATCAGGGCAGCACAGTGCAGAGCCCAGGGCAGTGCGAAGCCCAGGGCAGTGTGGAGGCAGGCGCCTGCTGCACTCTCGCCCTGGGCAGCACCTGCTGTTGCTCCCCCAGCCATGGGGAACTCCTCCCAATCCCTGGCTCTCGCTTGCTCCCTCCAGCCCTCTCTCAGCTTCTCCCTCTCTCTGCTTCTCTCTCGCTGGCCCTTAGGAGGAAGGTGGATGTCAGGTGTGTACATGCTCCGTGGGCGGCGGGCTGGGCGGGGTGCTTCGCGGGGGGTGGGGGCTGCTGTCTGCATGTGCTTCCACTCCCTGCCTGTGATCTCTGGCTCTCTTGGCTGCTCCTCACCTCCCAGCTTCTCCCCTCCCCCCTCCACCAATTTGATTAGGTCCTGGACCTTAACGCAGGCTGCGATCAGGGGCCCTTCCATTGCACTCTCCTGCACATCTCCTCCCCATCCACCTTCCTACTCACTCACCCTCCCATTCTGCCCCGTCAGCCCACCCAAGTATCTGCTGCATGCAGGACCCAGTGCTGTGATGGGGATAGCCTGGGTGGAGAAGGCCTTGGCCACGTCCCCCTGGAGCCAGCATGTGGCCAGGGAGACAGCACATGGCCCCAGCCCAGGCCAAGAGTCAGGCAGTGGGCGAGCCCAGAGTCGGCTCCTGGAGCCCCTGCTGTGGACCTGCCTCCGGTGATGACCACAGGGACTGAGAGGGTCAAGGGCCTCGAAGGAAAGCCAGTGAAGTTATCTGGCAGGTGGAGGTGGTGGAAGGGCAGCTTGCGGGAGGGTGCCGGACTGGAGGGGGCTGACGCCTTCACGGGTGTGGAAGGCAGGAAGGTTCTAGAAGGCAGAGGAGAATCGATCCCTGGGTGTCCTCGAAGGCCTGGCTAAGGAAGTTGGGGGTTTCCACTGCCCCGAGCGTGTCTGGCTTGCTCATGCCCCACTTGCCTTGCGCATGCTCTTCCCTTTGCCTGAAATGCCCTTTCTCCAGTGTCTGCCTGGGGAACTCCTGTTCATCGCTCAAGATCAGTGCAGGACTGCCTTCTCAGAGGGGCAAAGGGGAACAGAGGTGCCAGTTGCCATGCCAGTCGTCTCCACCTGTGTCCTTGTATTGACTCCTCTCTGCAGTCTAGCCAGGGCTGAAGTGATCGGGGAGGGGGCTGTCTCCATTTTGCAGATGAGGAAACTGAGGCTCAGCGATGTGAAGGCCCTTGTCCAAGGTCACACAGCTGCCAAGTAGCAAAGCCAGGATTGGAACCGAAGCAGCAACTTTCTGCCCTCCTCAACCTGCTCTTGGCGGGGGGGTGGGAGGGGGGGCTCTCCCGGCTCCGCCTCCCCCCTTGCATGGCCGAGTCCTGGTGCGAAGCTACAGTTTCCTTATTGTCACCAGCTGTTTGTGTCTGCTTCCCCCCTAAACTGGGAGCTGCTGGAGGGTGGCTCTCTGGTGCACCTCACTTCTGGGTCCCCATAGCACCTGTAACTCAGCACAGTGGCGGGTGCCCAGCAGGTGATGGTGAACAGGATGAATGAACAGCAGTGACAATGTCACCATTTCTTGTGCTCTCTGTGTGAGCTGGGCCCTGTGCTGAGTGCTTGAAGTTGCGTTATTTTATTTACGCATCACCATAGCCTCGAGAAATGGGAAGTCTTACTTGCACCATTTTACAGATGAGGAAACTGAGGCCCAAAGAGGTGAAATAACTTACCCAAGGTCACATGGCTAGTAGTGGCAGAGCTGGAAGACTAGGCTGGCCCTCCGACCCATGATCCTTTCAGGAAGGCTCAGTGGAGGTGCAGCAGAGGCCACAGGAGGGAGAGGCCCGTGCAGGGGAGGGGCGTCAGCAGGATGGCTCTGAAGTCCTGGTGGAGTCTCTACCAAGCGTCTCAGACTGGGGTGACAGCTGGGGCAGAGCTGTGGAGGCAGGAAGGGCTGGGAGAACTTTGGTTCTGCCTTTTTCACCTGGATTCAGAGAGTAGCCCCATGCTTGCCTTTTTCCAGCCCTTTCCCTCCACTCTTCTTGTCTTCCAGGGAGGGTGGGCTGGGGGAGGTTTGGCCAGGAGGCTGGGGCTGCCAGGAGGCCTGGAAGTGATGGAATCTCATTCAGGGAAGACCCTGGGGTAGCTGATTGGGAGATGGGGGTGGGTGGATTGGGAGCCCCTCCTCATGTCACAATGCTCCAATGCTCCTTCGCTTAGACGTCAGAGATGGTGGCTGAGCGCGGTGGCTCACGCCTGTAATCCCAGCACTTTGGGAGGCTGAGGCAGGAGGATCGCTTGAACCCAGAAGTTTGAGACCAGCCTGGGAAACATAGGGAGACCTGGCCTCTACAAAATATAAAAATAAATTAGCTAGGTGTGGTGGCGCATGCCAGTGGTCCCAGCTACTCAGGAGGCTGAGGCAGGAGGATCGCTGGAACCAGGAGTTGAAGGCTGCAGTGAGCCATGATCGTGCTACTGCACTCCAGCCTGGGTGACAGAGCAAGACTCTGTCTCAAAAAAAAGAAGTGAAGGAGGGAGGTGTAGGTGGGGGGCTGGTATTAGTAGAAGAGGAGAGGGAAAGGGATTTGGGGGGCGGGGCTTGGTAGGAGATGGGCCACCGGAATTTAAGGTGTTTGAGTCTCACACCTCATCCCGGGGACCCGCCTGCATGCACGTCCTTCCTCCATCAGTGCTCAGGGCCTATTACTGTGCAGTGCCTCCCCCACCCTGTAAGAGTGGGGGGCTTTCTGAATCTAGCATGGGGCCCAGGCACGTGTGGAGGCTGGGCTGGCTGTCAGGGCAGTAGAGAGCTAGAGGAGGAACCCGTCTGTGGATGGGGTCTGGCCAAGTGGGGGTCCTCGCAGTAGCAGACCCAGAGATCCCGCGCCATGGATCTTGCTGCCACATGGCCCTGGGTCCTGGTATTCTGGGTATTGTGTGGCCCTGGGTGTGAGGAAGCCCTCTGGGGCTGAGGTCTGACTGCCTCAAGCTCCCTCATCTGACATCCTAGTCTCAGGAGTCAGGGCCCCTCCTGGGTCTGACTCTGGGTTGCTCCCTGAACTGCCCCTTCCTCCCACCCAAATTCCAGGAGCTTCTTTTGGGAGTTTTCTGGCAGGCGCTTCTGGGCAACAGCGCCTCAGCTGGCCTCTGCCTCCTTGCCCCCGGCATGGCGGCAGGGGGCACCTCGGGAGTCTAGAGCCTCGGGGTCCTGCCTTCATGCTCTCCTCCAGAGACCTGTGCTGGCTTCACCCCTGCCTCGCTCCTCCCTCACCCCACAGACCATGTGCTCCAGGTCTTGGGGCTTGGCAATTGACCTCCTGGCCACTGCCCACCTGGCCAGCCTCAGCTGTGGTGCACCAGCTCAGCGGCCATCCCCAGAGTGCCCTCCCAACCAGTCCCAGCAGCCCAAGGGAGCGAATGTCAGTGCCCACGCTGGCACATGTCCCAGGTTCCAAAGCTGCCGTGCCCCTGAGCCACACGCCACCCTGGCTGGCCCCAAGGATTAGGGCCCCAAAAGAGGATCCTGAGGCTCAGAGAGGTGAACTCAGTTGCTTGAGGTCACACAGCTGGTGACCAGCAGTTGTGAAAAATCATGGCTCTGGGACTCTTGGCCCTTCTTCTAGCCATGGGTGGGAAGGCTTCCCTTCCTTCCCTGCTTGCTGCCCACCTGATGAGGACCAGGCCCGGGGGAAGGTGCTGGATGCCGTAGAATTCCTCTCCCTGATGGCTTGATGCTGCTGTGACTGGTGACCGCAGCCACCGGAGGCAGCTTTGAGCCTCCCAAGCCCTTGACATGGGAAGATGGGGATTGATATCTCCATTTCACAGGTGGGCAAACTGAGGCTCAGATGATCATCACAGTCGTCATCTCAGTTTACTCTGAGCCCAGCATGACGCTCACTGTTTACACACTTTGCCTGCAAGGGAGATTCTGTGAATGTTGTCTGCTTTTTACATATGAGGAAACTAAGACTCAGAGAGGGCAGGGTACTTGCCCAAGATCACACAGCAAATCCTTGTTGGAGACTGGGACTGTGCTGCTTTGGTTTTTAAAAAGGGTCACTGTGGAAATACCAATTTAGTTGTTTTTATTTTTATTTTTTAGCTAAATCCAGATCTAACAGCTGATGCATGTTGTGCTGGGCTCTGATCTGGCTTTTTTTTTTTTTTTTTTTTTTTTTTTGAGACCGGATCTTGCTCTGTGGCCCAGGCTGGAGTGCAGTGGTGCGATCTTGGCTTACTGCAATCTCTACCTTCTGGGTTCAAGTGATTCTCCTGCCTCAGCTTCCCAGCTTCCCAAGTAGCTGAGATTACAGGCACGCACCACCATGCCCAGCTAATTTTTATATTTTTATTAGAGACGGGGTTTCGCCATGTTGCTGGGCTGGTCTCGAACTCCTGACCTCAAGAGATCCATCCACCTTGGCCTCCCGAAGTGTTGGGATCACAGGCGTGAGCCACCGTGCGCTGTCTGTTCTGGCATTTGATATCCTGGGAGGGAGACATGCTGACCCTGCAGATGAGGAAACTGAGACTGGCGAGTGTGGTATGGAGGGGCCAAGGTCAGACAGCCAGCAAGTGGTGAGCTGGGATGGTGTCTAGGGCAGTGCAGCACTGGAGCCCATTCCCTCAGACCCCTCTAAATCAGGGGCCAGGCTGAGACTGGATCTTGGGTCCTTCAGTAAAATTGGAGTGCATCTCATCTCTCTCCCTGCCCCTTGTGAAATGAAACCTCCAGACTAGACCATGAAACCCCAGGCTCACAGGTGGGCTGACTCTGGGGAGCTGGGAGCCCTGCTCGCTGAAGTCGGGTAGCATCGGCTGCACTCCTCTCGCTCTTGGGCCCTGCTTGGCTGGCCTCCGAGCACAGGCCTCCTGCCAGCCTTCCACTCTGGGTGGCTGGAGACTCCCCAGAGGCCGGCCAGCCTGCGGACTGCAGCTTTGTCAAACGGCCTCAATTTTTAGCGTCTGGTCTTAGACCTTGGCCCCTTCCCGCTGTGGCCTGTCCTCTGACCCCGCCCTGCAGCCTCCTCTTTCATCTGCCACAGGCTTTCCCAAAGGTCTCAGCCTCTCTGGGGCCTGGGGAGGCCCTACTGTGCCTGGCTGTGGACAGTCAGGGGCCCTGCTTCTCACTCTTGCTCTGCCATTGGTTGACCATGTGGCTTTGGGCAAATCACTGGCCTGTCTGTGTCTCATTTTCCCCCACTGGTAAATGGAGGCTTTGAACTGAAAGATCTCAGAGAGCTGTTTTCTGTGATTTGAGTCCTTGCTTTGTAGCTTTGGGCAAGTCGCTGCACCTCTCTGTCCCTCAGTTTCCCCAACTCTCTAAAGAAAGTGCTGGCCAGGCGCGGTGGCTCACTCCTGTAATCCCAGCACTTTGGGAGGCCGAGGTGGGCAGATCACTTGAGGTCAGGAGTTCGAGACCACCCTGGCCAACATGGTGAAACCCCGTCTCTACTAAAAATACAAAAATTAGCTGGGCATGGTGGGGCTTGCCTGTAATCCCAACTACTCAGGAGGCTGAGGCAGGAGAATCGCTTGAACCTGGGAGGTGAAGTTTGCAGTGAGCCGAGATCGCGCTGTTGCACTCCAGCCTGGGTGATAGAGCAAGACTCCATCTCAAAAAAATAAATAAATAAATAAAGTGCTGGGCTACTCTGACCTGGGTGCTGTGTGTCCCTGCGCTGATCGCTTGACATTTCTGAGCCAGTTTCTTCATCTGGGGCCTGGAGCCCTGCCTTCCTCCCTTGCAGGGTGGCCTTGGGGGTCAGTGGGAGAGACAAGTGTGGACACCCCGGGTGGGTGTACAACAAGGAGGTGGGTGGGGATTTGGGGCATCCAAAGGCTTCTTTTCTTGAGGTGGGTCTTGCCTCCTTACTCCCGGGCCCTCCCTCCAGTGACCCCATATGGCTTGCCCCCCTGCCCGAGTGTGTGTGTAGCCATCACAGAGCCAAGACAGGCCACACAGCCCCAGTCACACCCCCTTGCCTCACTCCATCAGGAGGGGACACAACACCCTCTGGCTCACTTCGAGCCATCCGGCTGAACCCCAGTGTCTCAGGTGCTCACCTGTCCTCCGACAGGTCCCTGGAGAGCTCCCCAAGCCCTGCTCCCTCCTGGCCTCAACTTCTCCATCTTCTATATGGGCTGAAGAATATGGCCAGGGGCAGCTCAGAAGAAGTGGGAGCCAGGGATCCAGGTTCATGTTCAGATTGTGTGACTGTAGGCAAGGGCCTTTCTCTCTCTGGGCCCTGGCGGTGGGTGGGGGCCACCCTGCCTGCCGTGTGTCTTCTCAGGGTCCTGGTGAAGTACAAAAGTGGCCTTGGATTGAGAAGAGCCCAGCAAGCTGTCAAGCCCTGCTGCAACCTGCAGGGGGTGCTCCTATCTGGGAGTCAGGAGCCTGGGCCTGGCTGTGTGACCTTGAGCAAAGAGGCCTTTGCTTCTCTGGCCTCAGTCTTCCCAGCTGTACAGTGGGAATGAGAGGGGCTGGACCCTAGTTCCCAGGTCTCCCTGCCCATTGACCTCTCCTCACTCCCTGTGGACCCCGTCCCTGTCCCCTTGGTTGCTTTGGATGTGAGGCCTCTGTGGCTGCCCCCTCGTCCCCTGTCCCCAGCACCGCCTGGCTCTCCCGCTCTCTCCCCTGCTCTTTCTGCCACTCTCCGCCTCTCACCACCCCCATCTCTGCCTCTTCTCTCCTGTTGGGCTCTCGCTCTCTCCTCCCTCCTCTGTGTCTCTGGACCCCCGCTCCAGCCAGACCTGGTTCACATTCAGATGGCTGCAAAGGTACTTCCGCCCCTCCCCGCTCCCGCCCAGGCCCAGGGGACCCGACCACGCCGGGAGCTCTTCCTGCCCCATCCCCATCACACCCCCCACTCCTTCTCCTCACTTTCGCATAGAAGTGCCCTGGGCATTGGGGCTCTGCCACCTCACCCCCTCTGACAGGGCTCACTGTGTGACTTTGGGCAAGTCCCAGCCCCCTCTGGCCTCAGTTTCCCCCTGCAGATGGGTAGGCTGGAGGAGGAGGCCTGTAGTTTTCAGCCGAGGAGCCCTTTAGGTGTGACCCGTGATTTGGGACAGAGGCAAGCCTTGCTCTAGTTTGCAGGGTTGGGGCCTGGATGGTCACTGGGTCCCAGCAGGGCCCCTGCTTGCCTCCACCCAGGTCTCACCAGCTCCCAGGAGCGGGCTTCCAAATCTCAGAGCATGGGGACACTTTGTAGGTCTCACTTGACTTTCTCTCAGCCAGGAATCTCTTCTATTACAACCTTACTTGCCCGCAGAGACAGGGGGTTCCCTCCCTCCCTCCCAAGGCAGCTCTCGGCATCTTGAGATGTCTTGGTACATCTGAAAGGAAGTGAATTTCTTCCTGTCCCGGGACTCCTCCCCTATGGATTTGAGCCTCAGATGACCAAGGCCAGTCCTGCCCTGGTCCAAGACAAAGTCCATCTGATCCAGCTTTGGCAAAAAGGCGTCTGCGCCAGGGAGGGGAGGAGTTCCAGGCCAGCTGGACCTGGCATGCTGTGGGGACTCACGCTGGCCCCACCACCTCCCTGGGCCTCCCTCAGCCACTAGAGCCCTGAGCACAGCACCTAGGAGGATGGTGGGCACCGGGCTTGTGGCTGACGGCTCCCTTCTCCTTTCCTCCCTCCTTCTGTCCCTGCTCAGAGAGGGAGACTGGTGGCTGGCCCACTCGCTCAGCACAGGACAGACAGGCTACATCCCCAGCAACTACGTGGCGCCCTCCGACTCCATCCAGGCTGAGGAGTGAGTACCGTCTCTGGCTGCCTCTACCCGTCGTCCCTGGACACTGCCGGTGCAGAGTGCCTCTCCTGGGCTGGGGTGGGAGGTCTGGCTGTCCAGCGCCCCAGCCATATCCAGGGAGAAGCACTGTGAGTGGGCAGAAGCCTGGACAGTCAGCACCATCCTCCGTCCTCCCACCCCCAGGTGGTATTTTGGCAAGATCACCAGACGGGAGTCAGAGCGGTTACTGCTCAATGCAGAGAACCCGAGAGGGACCTTCCTCGTGCGAGAAAGTGAGACCACGAAAGGTACGAGCGCTCTTGCTGGCCAACGGATACTGAGTCTTCTGTGAGTGGTTTGAGCTGGGTGTTGTGGAATGAGCAGGAGTTTGGTTTGTGGAGTAGGGAGGGAAGAACCTTCCGGGTGGAGGTAATGGCAGGATCAAAGTCAGGGAGGTGCATTTGAGGAACACTGAGTAATCCGCGGTGGCCAGATGTCCAGAGAAAGATGAGGCTTAGTCTCTCTGGCCTCAGTTTTCTCAGATAAAAGATGAACATAGGTTGTCTGGAGGTCTGAGTGTCACACAGTAACAGGCTCGTTCCCAGGGTAGGTGCTGCTACAATGAGCCCCGCTTCTTCCTCTTCCCCAGGGGTCCCTGGGCTGCACTGGATGCTGGAGGCTGGTTTTGCCCTCCCCCAACTGCAGTCCTGGTCCCTGCCCCTCTCCTGTCCCTCCCCTGAGCCAGAGAATGAAGACCATCCCCTTTCTCTCCAGCCCCTCTGAAAGTGGGTTGCAGGCGCCCGTCACCATGGCAGCCAAGCTGAGCTGCTTCCTGTGGGCCTGGGGCTCAGCGGGAGATGGGAAGCAGAGCATCCATGTCGAGCCGTGCATTTACGAGCAGTCGTGCAGCCATGTGCGGGTGTGCATGCTGTGTGTACATCTGGGCGTGTGTGTGTGTGCATGTGGGGTGGAATTGTCTGTGTGTTGCTGTGTGGGAATGGACTGCTGTGGTTTGTCTGGTGCCTGAGGGCCTAGGGAGCGTGTACTTGTGTGAGCGTGTGGCTACTGGGCATGGGCATGCCTGTGCGTGTATGGACATGTGGCTGGGGTTGGCTTCAGCCTCAGGCCTGTGGCTTCCACATGCACCCTCCCGGGCCATCAGTAGAAAATCATGGTTGCCTAAGGCAGGCTTTGAGTCCCCGGATGTGGGTTTGAGCCCCAGCCCTGTCTCTGGTTTGCTGGGTGACCCCAGGCTGGCCACTTCCCTCTCTGGACCTCATTTCTTCTGTACGCTGGGATTGTAATCTCCTGAAGATCGCAGAGGGGGAGGTCTGTGGGCTAGGATGGCTGGGCTTCCCCCATGCCCATGCACTGCCTGGCCAGGCTCCTGAGAAGGCCTGTCCCTGGCTGCTGGAGCCTCTGCCCCTGCCTCCGGGGCTCAGCCTTGTTCCCTGATGCCATTTGGGCGTCTCTTGGCCTCTGGTCCTACCCAGGCCTGCTGGATGGGAGGAAACTTTTCCGGCCAAAAGCTTTTCTATGCTCAAGGGAAAGAGGGGAGGCACCAGGGCTGGCCCCGTTTGACCCAGGCAGCCTTCAGGCCACACCCAGCCCGTGGTCTCCTGCCCACGACGGCCAAAGCCTCTGCCAACCACCCCCTCCCGCCTGAGCCTGGGCCTGTCTTCAGCAAGGAGGTTGGGGGGACATGGACAGTGCCCCCGCAAGCTGACCCAGAGAGGGAAAGCAGTTAGGCCAGGGCCACACAGCCACAGGGAGCCACTCACAGGCTCCCAGCAGTTATTGAGTGCCCAGTGTGTGCCGGGCCCTTCTATATGTGGTTGCATGGAATCTCCCCAGCAGCCCTGGGAGCACCCGCATTGTGCAGAGGAGGAAACTGAGGCCCAGATAGGGCCAGCAACCCCTCCAAGTCTCATAGCTAGGATGTGCACCTGGGATATGGAGGTCTTGCTGGGGCCAAGGGTGCGTGGCAGGACGTACTAATCAAGTGTCTCTTGGGTCCCTTGGCCCTGCCTCTGTGGCTGCCCCGGGGCTGGCTGTTGAGAGACAGGGTGGGCCTGGGGCCCCGCCTGGGCCTCCCTTCCCTCCAATGTCAGGCAGGCACAGAACGGTGTCCAGAGCAGCGGCCTGCGGGGGGAGAGGGCATGGCGGTCACGGCTCCCCTCGGTGCCCCGCAGGTGCCTACTGCCTCTCAGTGTCTGACTTCGACAACGCCAAGGGCCTCAACGTGAAGCACTACAAGATCCGCAAGCTGGACAGCGGCGGCTTCTACATCACCTCCCGCACCCAGTTCAACAGCCTGCAGCAGCTGGTGGCCTACTACTCCAGTGAGCCAGCCTCGGAGGGCGGAGGGCGGGCGGGCAAAGCCTCAGCTGCAGACTCTGGGGAGGGGCCTTGGAGCCTAGAAGGGTGGGGACTTCTGTTATCCTGCTTCTCTCCCCACTTCCCCCTCCCCCCTCCCTTCCTCTCTCCTCCCTTTTCCCTCCTTTCCTTGTCTCCTTCTTCTTCCTCTTCTTTCCCCCAGCCCCCCTCCTCCCTGTCCCCCTCTCTCCCTGCTCCACGCAGTGTCCCACTGCCCGCCTTTCTCTGCAGCTGGCTGGTATGGAGGGGGCTGCCCTGAGGAGCCCCAGAGTAAGCTGGAAGGGAGGGGACAGAGGCTGGTGTCATTTGTCTCTGTAGCCCTAGGACCGGTCTGAACCGGTTGCTGGGAGAGGAGGAGGGGGCGGCCAGATCGATTGCAGCAAAGAGGGAAGAGAGCGGCAGAGGGAGCTCGCGGGGCTTGCGTGCTGGGTGAGGGCTCGGGCGTGGGCGCAGTGCTGTAGCCCACCCACCTGGGCATCCGAAGCTGACTGCAGTGTCGGGCCTGTGGGTGCCTGTGTGCCCGTGTGTCTGTGGCACACATGGCCTCTGTGCACAGGTGTTGGTCCACTCCCCACCCCGAGCCTCCTCCTCCTCTCAGCTTGGCCTCCTGACTTCCTCTGGGATCACCCGCCACTCTCTGTCTCTTCGGCCACCGCTGTGTAGCTCATTCTGAACCCCTTTCCCTCAGATCAGAACTCTCCAGGGGCTGTCTTGGAATCTTGGGATAAAGACCCCCACCGGCCCCTGAGTGGTCTAATCCTAACTGCCTCCCCACCTCCGCCTGGTGCCACCCTTCCCCACCTGCTCCCTGCGCCCCTTTGTCCTCCGCTTCTCCAGCCCTGCAGCTGTTCTTTCCTCAGAGCCTTTGCTCTGGCTGTGCCCCTGCCTGGAGGGCTCTTCCCTACTTAACCCCTCACCGTCCTGCACATCCAAGCTCAGTTGCTGCTTCCTCCAGGAAGCCTTCCAGGCCACTCCTGCTGTTGCGCGAACAGCTCTCCAGTCACATTCACATCTGTGGTCCTGGGAGGTGATTAGGGAAGTGGGGCTCCTCCCTGGACTCTGAGTTCCTGAGGGCAGGTTCCCTGGACATGTTCCCTCCCCGCAGGGTTCCTGGCACCCCCTACTGTCTGCTGAATGACTGACTGAATGACTGACTCAGCAGATGCATAAAGCACTGTGGGCCTGTGTGGGGGTGGGGCTGTGTGCACACAGATGTAGATGCCTGGCTTTGAGGGCACCCTGCGTGTCCCCTGAAATCTGTGTGCATCTGGCATGTAGGGCGACACACACTGAGGGGCAGGGAGGCCCCAGGGCAGAAGACCCGCCTAACTGCTCCTCCTGCCTCCTCCTCAGAACACGCCGATGGCCTGTGCCACCGCCTCACCACCGTGTGCCCCACGTCCAAGCCGCAGACTCAGGGCCTGGCCAAGGATGCCTGGGAGATCCCTCGGGAGTCGCTGCGGCTGGAGGTCAAGCTGGGCCAGGGCTGCTTTGGCGAGGTGTGGATGGGTAAGGCCTGGCCCCTGCCCTCGGGAGAGGCATCCACCCCCCACCCCGTGTGGCAGCTCCGGGCTCCCTTGGTCCCTTTGCCTTTAGCTGCCTCTGCTGGATGACGGGGCCCTGTTGTAAATCTGGAGCTCCCCAGCGGTGGCTGGCACCGAGTTGGGTTGTGGCCACCCAAGCACTGTGCCCCGGACCGTGCAAACCATAGTGCCTGATTCCAAGATCCGCACAGGGCTGGGCATTGCACAGACCTGCTGTGTAGGCTGGGCCCGGTGGCCTCACTCAGAGCCTCAGTCTTCCCGACTGTGAATGGGGCTGGTGACAGTGGGACCTATGGGAGACTGTGGAGACCCTGACCCAGTGCGTGTCCACACACTAGCTGTTCGCCATGGAGAGAGAAGCCCGGCTCGCAGGAGGGAGTGCTGGGAAGCTTAGGTCTGGCATGGTCTGGGCCTGTTAGCGATTTCCCGTCTGACCCTGGAGAAACAGCAAAGCATGAGCACCGTGCAGCCCTGACAAAACCCAGGCCCCTCTTCCACCGGATGCTTTCTGCTCACACGGAGGGACCGGAGGCCAGGGTGGAGGAGAGACGGCGGTTGTAACCCCGTAAGCCCATGGTGCTAGCGGGGATCACGGTGCGCTGTTTTCAAGGTGGTTTCATCTGAGCCGCATCTCCACTCACTCCCACTGCCTCCACGTTCCGCCCTCCAGAGGGCTGATGGAGGAGAGCAGAGCGGCCTCCTGGGTGGAAGGCACTGCAGGGACAGAGGCCTGGAGGCTGGAGGTCAGGCTGTCCGGGAAGGGGAGGCGTGGGCTTTGAGCTGGTGAGAGGGGAGAGGGGTGAGAAGCCAGGGTGTGGGCACAGCCACAAAGTGAGGACTTGAGCAACACCTGGGTGAATGCACAGCGTCAGCCATTATGGTGGCTGCAAAACTCATTTCTGGCTTGGGTGAGAGGTGCTGTCCCTGGGAAGGGCCTCACTTCCTCCCTGGGTGCTCCAGGTCGACTCATGAAGTGCCACATGCAGATGGCCTGAGCCAGCAGGGCCACAGAGATTGGCCTGAGCCCCAACCCTCGGACGGAGGCCCAGCGACTGGGAGGAACGGGCCCAAGGTCACACATCAAAGGAACCTCGAGGCCCACTGGGACAAGAACCTGGATTAAACATGCTGGTCTAGAATGCAGCTTCCCCCAGAGCCCCACAGTTAGAAAAGCAGATAGTAGTGAAATGATAACCACATTACTTACTGAGCCCTCACGGTGGGGCTGGCCCAGTGGTTAAAATCTCATTCAATCCTCAAACAGCTCCACGGGTAGGCACTATGGAATCCCCATTTTCCAGATGAGATAACTGAGGCTTAGAGAGGGGAACTGACTCTCCCATGGTCTCTCCGCTGGCAGGAGGCGGAGGTGAGAGGCTCTGGCCAGCCTGACCCCCAAGCCCTCATGCTTAGGACAGTGTCTCATTTTGGGGGGCGGGTGGGCTCCAGAGGTGACCTCTTGTTCTGGCAACAGCCTTAGAAATCCCTGGGCCAGCTCCACATCACCCCTGGCTTCCACCAGTACACATTGCATTTGCTAACACATGAGGCACGTTCAAAGTCCTGCTCAGAGGGAACATGACTAACCCAGAAGTGACACCGGTTGAGTTGGAACCTTGGTCCCCTATCTGTCTAGGCTAATAAGCTGCTTTTTAGGACTTTTTTTTTTTTTTTAGACAGGATCTCACTCTGTCACCCAGGCTGGAGTGCAGTGGCACAGTTTCGGCTCACTGCAACCTCTGCCTCCCAGGCTCAAACCATTCTCCTGCCTCAGCCTCCCGAGTATCCAGTATTACAGGCACGCACCACTACCACCTAGCTAATTTTTGTATTTTTAGTGGAGACAGGGTTTCACCATGTTGGCCAGGCTGGTCTTGAACTCCTGACCTCAAATGATCCACCCGCCTCGGCCCCCTAAAGTGCTGGGATTACAGGCGTGAGCCACCACGCCCAGCCTGGACATTCTTAATAATCACAGTCCCGACAACAGCTACTGGTTCTTGAGCATTTAATCCTAGTAACAGTGCCATGAGGAGCACCCTGTCATTGTACCCATTGTACAGATGGGGAGACTGAGGCTCAGAAAGGGCCCAGGCTTTGACTGGGTTTGTCACATGGCTGTGGAGGCCACAGCTGACACTGGCGCCCAGGTGGGCAGATCCTGGATCCCTGTGTGGTAGGAGTTGGGGGGCTCCACTGAGTCAGCCTGCATCCCTCCTCAACAGGGACCTGGAACGGTACCACCAGGGTGGCCATCAAAACCCTGAAGCCTGGCACGATGTCTCCAGAGGCCTTCCTGCAGGAGGCCCAGGTCATGAAGAAGCTGAGGCATGAGAAGCTGGTGCAGTTGTATGCTGTGGTTTCAGAGGAGCCCATTTACATCGTCACGGAGTACATGAGCAAGGGTGAGTCCTGGGCGGCCGGGGCAGGGGGCAGGGGCACTCCGGACAGGGCAGGGAGCATGAGCCTCATTTCCTCTCATGTCTAGAATGGGCATCTTCAAAGGTGGAATGCAGTAGAGCCAAATTCTCTGTTGCCTGGGCCGGAGTGTGGTGGTGCAATCATAGCTCACTTCAGCCTCAACCTTCCAGGCTCAAGCAGTTCTCCCACCTCAGCCACCCAAGTAGCTGGGACCACAGGTGTGTGTCACCAGGCCCAGCTAATTTTTTATTTTTTGTAGAGATGGGACCCTATGTTGCCCAGGCTGGTCTCGAACTCTTGGGCTCAAGGAGTCCTCCCACTTCCACCTCCCAAAGTGCTGGGATTACAGGTGTGAGCCACAGTAATTTTTAAACTAATTAGTTATTTTTCAAAATTCCACTTTTTGGAGGTATAGTTTACATATGATAAAATACACCCCTTTTAAGTGTTCAGTTCAGTGGGTTTTAACAACTGGATTTACTGTGTACCCCTAACCATAATGAAGATATATAACATCTCCATCACCCAGAAAGTTCCTCATGCCCTTTGCAGACAGTACCCTCCAGCCCCAAACCCAAGCACCCACTGATTTGCTTTCTGTCATTATAAATTTGTTTTGTTTATTCTAGAATTTCATACATGGAATCTTTTACATCTGGGATGCATTGTTTTTTTACTTTTTACATTTCAATTTTTTATTTTTTGAGATGAGGTCTTGCTATGTTGCCCAGGCTGGAGTGCAGTGGCGTGATCATAGCTCACTGCAGCCTTGACCTCCCAGGCTCAATTGATCTTCTCATCTCAGCCTCTCAAGTAGCTGGGACTACAGGTGCACAACATCCTGCCCAGCTACTTTTTTTTTTCGTATTTTTTGTACAGACAGAGACTTACTGTGTAGCTCAGGCTGGTCTCAAACTATTGGGCTCAAGCGATCTTCCCACCTCGGCCTCCCACAGTGCTGGGATTGCAGGCAGGAGCCACTGCTCCCGGCCTGAGATGCATCCTTGTTGCATCTCCCAGCAGTTTGTTCCTGTTGTTGCTGAGCGGGACTCCGCTGTCTGCATTAGCACAGTTTACCTGTTCACCTGGAGGTGGACTTCTGCTTGTTTCCCATCCTGCTTGCCTTTTGAGTGACAAGCACTGAGTGAGACTTTATTCAGAGATGAGTTTACGTAAAATCTGCTGTGCTGGTTAAAGCAAGGCCAGCCACCTGGGAGGATGGGTTTTGGGAATCACTGCATCCTGGCAGAGGGACAGGGCAGGAGCTGGAGCTGGGTCTCTCTCTGCCCAGGGAGTTTGCTGGACTTTCTCAAGGGGGAGACAGGCAAGTACCTGCGGCTGCCTCAGCTGGTGGACATGGCTGCTCAGGTGAGTCAGCCCCTCCCGCCTCCCCACACCCTTGGTCCTCAAGCACCCAGACCCATCTGGTGCAGCCAGTTCTGGCCTCTTGAGTGCCCCCTCCAAGAAGCCTGCCTTGATTGCCTCCACACTCACTGATCTTGCCGCACGTATTTACCAGGTCTGCTTACAGGTGCCCTGAGGGGTGATTCTGGGCAGCAGAAGGCCCTTACCTGGGCATCAGGGGTCACTGACTTACTGTGGGACCTCGGGCCTCAGTTGTCGTCTCTGTAAAGGTCATTTAGTCGCTTAGCAGACGTGTTCATGCTTGCTGTAGGCAGTGGTCAACAAGCCTTTTTTTTTTTCATTTAATCCTCATCACGACCAGGAGTGACGAGGATTGGCTGTTATTCCCATTGGACGGATGAGAAAACTGAGGCTCAGAGAGGGGACTTGGGCAGCAGGCAGGACCTGGCACTCATCTGTGTCTGGGTCCGCTGGGGCCTCTTTCCCTGGTCACCTCGCTTTCCTGGCTGCATCGGATCTCGTGCCTCCCCTTTGACCTTTGCCTTCTGCCCTCTGCTCTGTGCCCTGTGCTCCCTACTCCCGCAGAGCACTGCTCCTGCTTTCGATGCCAACAGCATTTACTGTGAACTGACCTCACTTGCCTGAAGAAGTGTGGGGAGGGTGGGGAAGGGGTGGTTGGCTCTCCAGCCCCAGAGTGCTCTGTGGCCCTGGGAGGGCATGGGTGGCACCTGAGCCAGGCTCCCACGGTTCCGCCTGCAGATCGCCTCAGGCATGGCGTACGTGGAGCGGATGAACTACGTCCACCGGGACCTTCGTGCAGCCAACATCCTGGTGGGAGAGAACCTGGTGTGCAAAGTGGCGGACTTTGGGCTGGCTCGGCTCATTGAAGACAATGAGTACACGGCGCGGCAAGGTGGGCAGGGGCTGTGTGGTATGTCGCGCTTGGCCTGGGACAGGTCACGTCCCGCTCTGAGCCCCAGTTTTTTCCTCAGCTGTCATTCCTCATGGTGCTTATCTAGCAGAGCGGTCATGACAGGAGGTCAGAGCTGCCCTGACCTTTCTCGTTCCTGCAGGTGCCAAATTCCCCATCAAGTGGACGGCTCCAGAAGCTGCCCTCTATGGCCGCTTCACCATCAAGTCGGACGTGTGGTCCTTCGGGATCCTGCTGACTGAGCTCACCACAAAGGGACGGGTGCCCTACCCTGGTAAGAAGGTCCTCATGGCCTGTCTGTGGTCCCTGAATCCCTCTGCCCTGGTGGCCTTGGGCAAGTCATGACTCCTGCTGGGCCTGTTTCCCCACCCGTAAAACAAAGAAGTTGAGCGTCTGATGTTAGGCTCTCTCGATGGTCCATGCTCTCAGCTTCGGGGACAGGACTTATCTATGGTCACTCCCAACCTGTCCTAGGCAGGAAGCCCTCGCTGCCCTCCCCATCAGCTTCCCCCACCCCACTTTCCTCACCGGAGCCGGGCTCCCCATGCCTCGCTCTGCCCACAGGGATGGTGAACCGCGAGGTGCTGGACCAGGTGGAGCGGGGCTACCGGATGCCCTGCCCGCCGGAGTGTCCCGAGTCCCTGCACGACCTCATGTGCCAGTGCTGGCGGAAGGAGCCTGAGGAGCGGCCCACCTTCGAGTACCTGCAGGCCTTCCTGGAGGACTACTTCACGTCCACCGAGCCCCAGTACCAGCCCGGGGAGAACCTCTAGGCACAGGCGGGCCCAGACCGGCTTCTCGGCTTGGATCCTGGGCTGGGTGGCCCCTGTCTCGGGGCTTGCCCCACTCTGCCTGCCTGCTGTTGGTCCTCTCTCTGTGGGGCTGAATTGCCAGGGGCGAGGCCCTTCCTCTTTGGTGGCATGGAAGGGGCTTCTGGACCTAGGGTGGCCTGAGAGGGCGGTGGGTATGCGAGACCAGCACGGTGACTCTGTCCAGCTCCCGCTGTGGCCGCACGCCTCTCCCTGCACTCCCTCCTGGAGCTCTGTGGGTCTCTGGAAGAGGAACCAGGAGAAGGGCTGGGGCCGGGGCTGAGGGTGCCCTTTTCCAGCCTCAGCCTACTCCGCTCACTGAACTCCTTCCCCACTTCTGTGCCACCCCCGGTCTATGTCGAGAGCTGGCCAAAGAGCCTTTCCAAAGAGGAGCGATGGGCCCCTGGCCCCGCCTGCCTGCCACCCTGCCCCTTGCCATCCATTCTGGAAACACCTGTAGGCAGAGGCTGCCGAGACAGACCCTCTGCCGCTGCTTCCAGGCTGGGCAGCACAAGGCCTTGCCTGGCCTGATGATGGTGGGTGGGTGGGATGAGTACCCCCTCAAACCCTGCCCTCCTTAGACCTGAGGGACCCTTCGAGATCATCACTTCCTTGCCCCCATTTCACCCATGGGGAGACAGTTGAGAGCGGGGATGTGACATGCCCAAGGCCACGGAGCAGTTCAGAGTGGAGGCGGGCTTGGAACCCGGTGCTCCCTCTGTCATCCTCAGGAACCAACAATTCGTCGGAGGCATCATGGAAAGACTGGGACAGCCCAGGAAACAAGGGGTCTGAGGATGCATTCGAGATGGCAGATTCCCACTGCCGCTGCCCGCTCAGCCCAGCTGTTGGGAACAGCATGGAGGCAGATGTGGGGCTGAGCTGGGGAATCAGGGTAAAAGGTGCAGGTGTGGAGAGAGAGGCTTCAATCGGCTTGTGGGTGATGTTTGACCTTCAGAGCCAGCCGGCTATGAAAGGGAGCGAGCCCCTCGGCTCTGGAGGCAATCAAGCAGACATAGAAGAGCCAAGAGTCCAGGAGGCCCTGGTCCTGGCCTCCTTCCCCGTACTTTGTCCCGTGGCATTTCAATTCCTGGCCCTGTTCTCCTCCCCAAGTCGGCACCCTTTAACTCATGAGGAGGGAAAAGAGTGCCTAAGCGGGGGTGAAAGAGGACGTGTTACCCACTGCCATGCACCAGGACTGGCTGTGTAACCTTGGGTGGCCCCTGCTGTCTCTCTGGGCTGCAGAGTCTGCCCCACATGTGGCCATGGCCTCTGCAACTGCTCAGCTCTGGTCCAGGCCCTGTGGCAGGACACACATGGTGAGCCTAGCCCTGGGACATCAGGAGACTGGGCTCTGGCTCTGTTCGGCCTTTGGGTGTGTGGTGGATTCTCCCTGGGCCTCAGTGTGCCCATCTGTAAAGGGGCAGCTGACAGTTTGTGGCATCTTGCCAAGGGTCCCTGTGTGTGTGTATGTGTGTGCATGTGTGCGTGTCTCCATGTGCGTCCATATTTAACATGTAAAAATGTCCCCCCCGCTCCGTCCCCCAAACATGTTGTACATTTCACCATGGCCCCCTCATCATAGCAATAACATTCCCACTGCCAGGGGTTCTTGAGCCAGCCAGGCCCTGCCAGTGGGGAAGGAGGCCAAGCAGTGCCTGCCTATGAAATTTCAACTTTTCCTTTCATACGTCTTTATTACCCAAGTCTTCTCCCGTCCATTCCAGTCAAATCTGGGCTCACTCACCCCAGCGAGCTCTCAAATCCCTCTCCAACTGCCTAAGGCCCTTTGTGTAAGGTGTCTTAATACTGTCCTTTTTTTTTTTTTAACAGTGTTTTGTAGATTTCAGATGACTATGCAGAGGCCTGGGGGACCCCTGGCTCTGGGCCGGGCCTGGGGCTCCGAAATTCCAAGGCCCAGACTTGCGGGGGGTGGGGGGGTATCCAGAATTGGTTGTAAATACTTTGCATATTGTCTGATTAAACACAAACAGACCTCAGAATCTGATCAACAGTTTATTGAACATCTACTGTGTGCTGGAAAGCGAGATGGGGCGGAATGCGAGAACAAACTACCCCTTGAGGGGTCTTTGGGCAGCACTAGTAGCTGGAGGGCTTCAGGCCAAGGCAGGGGTGACATCAGATTGGAGACAGCTACGGCAGAATGTGGCTGTTTGTGAACATCTGCACCTGTGTTAGGGGGTGAGCACCTGGGAGAAGGACAAGGCACATCACAGGACTTCCCTGAGCATGACAAGTTCAGGACTCAAATGTCCGTGGTGGATGGTAGCAGTGACATTGGGGAGTGGGTGGGGCTGTCAAGCCTGCCTAGAGGAGATCACAAATACACGACGAGAATACCGTTGTGTGTGCTCTTCGTGTGTTTCCTAGGAGTGCAGGGCAGGGGTGCTGGGTCGATCCACAAAAGTCCTGAAAACGCTGAAGAAAAATCCAAAGACCCTTCCCCTCCTCCCTCCTTCCCCACCACCGAAGCACACAGTCTTGAAGGTTGATTTGCAACCGTCTATACAAACACATTTATTTTACACAAATATACATCAGATCACACACCTGTGCACCGGAGTCAACTCTGGCCACGACATTGCTTAATTAAAAACAAATTTCAAAAACTGGACATTTTTCTGTTCAGTATTATTTTCACAAGCCAAACACATCATAGTGTCCAGGTCAGGGTGGCATCTGGGTGGCATCTGGAGATCGCAGGGGGCGGGTGTGTGTGTGTGTGTGTGTGGGTGTGGGTGTGCGTGTGTCTTAGGAGTAGAGATGGAGTTCTGGATGTGAGGTTGTGGCAGGTGTTCTCTGCTTGCTGGTGGGAGTATACCTGGATGCGTGTGCCTTTGTGTTCATGGGGGTATGTGCGTGGGCTCTGTTTGTTCGCAGACATGGTGCTTGGATGTTTGTGTGTGAGCACTTGTCTAGGTGGTCTGTGAGCCTGGGCTCATGGAAATGCGTCCCAGATGTGTGTGCTTGGGCATTAACGCGATGAGGTGAGCCGGTCCGCTTGCTCTGGCTGTGTGTGCAGAATGTGTGTGTACTGTGTGAACACAGATCCAGGGGCTTCATGAGCCTGTGGGCTCCTGGAGTGTGTGGGCACCGAGGTGTGCAGCTGGGTTCACGTGGATGTGGGTGGGAACAGCATGTGTGCCCGTGGACCCGTGTGAGCTTGGGCTCGCACCCCCAGCGCTGGCCACTCCCGGCGGGACCCACGTGTGCCCGGGGGCGCAGGGCCACGTGCGAGCGCAACCGGGACAAAGCGCTCGCCCGCGCTGCCGCGGCGGGTCAGGCGTGCGCATGCGCATGCGCGGCGCGGCAGGGTCCAACCCCAACCCCGCGCGCCGGGACAGGAGGGACCGGCCACCGCGCGGCCTCTCTCCTCTTCCTTGTCCATCTGAGTCTTTCTCTCTCTTCCTCTCTCTTGTCTGTCAGTGCCTCTCCAGCCCTCTCTGGCCTTACATCAATTTCCTGTTTCTTCTTTTTTAATTTTTAAAAATTTCAGTAGCTTTTGGGGTTACAAGTGGTTTTTTGGTTACTTGGATAAATTATGTAGGGGTGAATTTTGTAGTACACTCGTCATCCGAGTAGCGTACGTTGCACCTAATATGTAGGTTTTTAAAAATCCCACACCCCGCCTTCCTTGCTTTTTTCTTTCTTTCTCTTTCCTTTTCTTTTTCTTTATTTCCCTTTCCCCTCCCTCCCTCCCTTTTTTTGAGATGGAGTCTTGCTCTGCCCCTAGTCTGGAGTGCAGTGACTCACTGCAACCTCCACCTCCTGGGCTCAAGCCATTCTCCTGCCTCAGCCTCCCGAGTAGATGGAACCACAGCTGTGTGCCCTCATAGCCCGGCTAATTTTTTTTTTTTTTTTTTGTAGAGACGGGGTGTTGCTATGTTGCCCAGACTGGTCTTGAACTCCTGGGCTCAGGTGATCTGCCCCCTCCGGCTCCCAAAGTGTAGGGATTACAGGTGTGAGTCACTATGCCTGGCTGATTTTCCTTTTCTTTCTCTATGTGTCTCTCTGTCTCACTGTTGCTAATTTCTGTCTCTTTTCCTCTTTGCCTGGGTGCTGTCTCTCTTTCTCTAGTCCCCACCCTCCCTTTCTGCCTCTCAGATTTTTCTCCCCATCCACCTCTTCACATCTCTGACTCTTCCCAGGCCCTCCCACACCTCCATGCCTTTGCCCAGGCTGTTTTCACCGCTGAGAATGCCCTTTCTTCCCTCTCTACAACCTGGCAAACTCCTATTCATCCTGCAAAGCACATCTCCGAGGCCACAGACCGGCCCTGGGAGCTCTCCCTGACGCCCTGGAATCCGCAGAGCGTGTCAGCCCGCCCACTAGAACAAGCGCTTGAGGGACTGGGTGACGTTCTCCCTAGTGATCCCAGGTCCCGCCACATTGGTAATGTCTGCTCAGGGAAGGCAGGCGGGAAAGTCGCTCTGCCTCTCCCACTCCTGTCTCTGGCTCCTTCTCCGGTTGGGACTTCCTCACTCTGGGCCTGTGTCCAGTTGGCTTGTGCTGGACTCGGTGTGTAAGGGAGACAGAGATAGACACACAGAGATGGAGTGCAGAGGCGAGAGATGTCATCCACTCTGCTGGGCCACAGTCTCCTGGCCCCGCTGTCCCCTCCTTCGGCCCTGTGTAGTGTCCAGGTGTCTCCCGGGGATATGAGACCCCAGGGCTCCATGCCCCCTCAGCCTTTCCTTTCTGCCTTCAGTTGGTTTTACTCTTAATTCTGCATGCATTTTTTTCTTTTTGAGAAAACTAAAATGTTTCCCCCATGACAAAAAAAGAATATATATTCTTTCTGGCAAAATAGGAAAGATACAGGAAAACACAAACCAACCAACCAACCATATTTCACACCCCCTGCTCCACCCCTCCCGCCTGGAGTCTGGGGCATGTCTCCAGGGTGCATGCAGGGTGTGTGTGGTGTGTGGTGTGTGGTGTGTGTAGGGGTGTGCGGCATATGCGTGTCCCTGCTGCTGTTGCCTCCCAGGCTTTTTCCTATGAGCTTCGAAAGTCTCTTTGTTCATCCTCTGCTTCTCTCGTCCCCTCTCTTCCTCCCTCCCTAGTTACATTCTCCAGACCAGACTTCATGCTGGGTGCACGCATGCACAGACACACACACACACGCGCGCATACACATGCACACACACACACACACACGCACACTCTGCATTTTCTATCATCTCTGTCTTCTTTTCCCATTTTTCTCTCAGAGGCTCTGAAACGCTGTGATTCATAGAGAGAAAAAGAGACAGGCAGAGATTCAGAGATTCAGACAGGACAGACAGGAAAAGGGGATGGAGACAGAGGGGCTGGAGTTGGTGGCGGGGAGGGAGCGGCAGGGAGAGAAGCTTTTTGTCCATCTGTTTGTCGTCTGTGAGGTCCATCCCGATTCTCACTCCCCGCAGCCCTCCCCTTTCTGGGGCTTTTCCCACCCAGCCCTTGGAGCGTGTCTCCTGGGATCCTGGGGCCGTGTCCATCTGTCCGTCTGTGTGTCAGCCTCTGCCTCCCGCCTGCCTCTTGCTGTGGTCTCATTAAATGCTCATCTCTTTCTTTGATTGTTCCACCCCCAGGTTGTGTGTGTGGGCACGTGTGCATGTGTCCATGTATCCAGATCTCTGTGCCTTTGTGGCTGTCCATCTGCCTCCCACCTGACTTCCCCTTCTCCCTCCCTCCTGTTCTTGCCACCGTGTCAGTGTGTGTTTGCATCTGTGTACGTGTATGCACCTGTGTACATGTGTGTCTGTGCATGAATCTCTTGCTCACCTCACTTCCCCTGTCCCAGAGGCTCCTGGACTTGGCATCTGGGGGTGTTCTTCTCCTCACTCCCCATCCTGGTCCAGCCTCAGCCTCAAGGCTTGCCTCCTGGACAATTTCCCTGGCAACCATCCCTGGACATCTTACCTGCAACCTCCGAAAACTCAACTCACTTGTCCACTCCCACTCCGTCAGCAGGGGGACCTCTGGCACAGAGCCACATGCCCTGGGTGGCTCAGCCTTCTCTCACTTAACGCTCTGCTGTGGGCTTTCATTTCCTCTTACCACTTCTGGCCCCACTCAGAGCCCTGTGTCTCCCCCACCTGCCTGTGCACAGGCTGACCTGTGTCATCCTGATCCCCACCATGCAGGCATTGCTCATGGTGCCTCTGCCTGACATCTTTCCTTTCTTTTTTTTTTTTGAGACAGAGTCTCACTCTGTTGTCCGGGCTGGAGTGCAGTGGCGCAATCTTGGCTCACTGCAACCTCTGCCTCCCGGGTTCATACGATTCTCCTGCCTCAGCCTCCCGAGTAGCTGGGACTACGGGAGTGCGCCACTATACCCAGCTAATCTTTGTATTTTTAGTAGAGACAGGGTTTCACCATGTTGGTTGGCCAGGACGGTCTTGATCTTTTGACCTCATGATCTGCCCGCCTAAGCCTCCCAAAGTGCTGGGATTACAGGCATGAGCCATTGTACCTGGCCGACATCTTTCCTTTCTTCAGCCTGCAAATCCCACCTCCTCTGGGAAGCCCTCTTGATAACCCCCTTTGCTGGGTTCCCTTGTCTCTGATACTCCCTGCAGTGAGATCTGTCCTGGCCTTGGTCTTATCGCAGGCTGGGCACCCAGCTGGAGTCCCATTTGGACCTTCGTGGGCCTAGACACCTTGGCCCTTTCCTTAGAAAAGAAAATTAAAAATTACATGTTACGATAGCACTGGTATCAACACGAATATATTAATAGGACATACTGAGACATTTTCTTTGAGTTAAAAGTTCGTTTTTCTTCTGATTTTAAAAGAAATTGGAACATTTTCTTGGGGTCCCAAAAGTATGGTGCATGGGCTATAGATTCACTGATCCCCTCCTCTTGCCAGGCCTGGGCGAATGCCATGCCGGGCAGGCTGTGTATGCTCCCCGCCTTCTACCCTCTCTGTGTCTGTCTTCTTCATTTTGCCTCTGCAGTTTGTCCTTGTGTTAGTGCATTAAAGCAAGACGATGCGTGTGTGTGTATGTGTGTGTGCATGTGTGCATGCACACGCACGCCACATCCTCCCTCTTCATCTCTGTGTCCATCTCTCTGTGTTTGTTTGTTTGTTTGGTTTTTTTTTTTGAGACAGGGTCTTGCTCTGTCTCCCAGGCTGGAATGCAGCGGTGCAATCACGGCTTACTGCAGCCTCAACCTCCTGGGCTCAAGTGATCCTCCTACCTCAGCCTCCTGAGTAGCTGGGACTACAGGCGTGCACAACCATGCCCGGCTATTTTTTTTTTTTTTTTAGTAGAAACAGGGTCTCACTCTGTTGCTCAGGCTGGTCTTGAACTCCTGGGCTCAAGAGATCCGCCCACCTCAGCCTCCTAAAGTGCTGGAATCACAGGCATGAGCCACTGTGCCTGGCTTATGTTCATCTCTTTCACCATAACAGGTTTGTCTCTTTCTCCGGGGTCCCCTCATTCATTCATTCATTCATTCCTGCAACAAACACCTGTGTGTGTCCCTGTGTCTGTGCGTTGGCGTGTCTGCCAGGGAGCAGGGGTCTTGGTTCCTCATCTTTCCCCAGGTCTCCTGCTCTCCCAGATCTGCAGGCTGTGAGCTTTCCAGGGTGGGCCATGCTCCCTGCTCCCGACCCTTTGCCTGCCCGCCTCCCCTTGCTCCAGCATTGGGGTCACTGCTATGGGTGGTGGTTGTTTTCCCTCTCCCCCTTGGTTCTTCCTAGAACACCATGTAGCAGCTGCTCCTGCCCAGCAGGGTGTGTGTGTGTGTGTGTGTGTGTGTGTGTGTGTGTGTGTATGGGAGGGAGTGAGAGAGAGGGCCAGGCCGACATATAGACAGACAGACACCAAGAGAGGGTGACAAGTGCACAGCCGGCACCTGTCTCTCCTGTATTTGCCTTCTGTCTCCTTCCCTCTCCTCTCTGAGGTTTTGCTGGCATTTTGTCTTTTCTCTGGGCTTCCTGCATTTGTGTGTGTGAGTGTGTCTGTGTATGAGTGTGTGTGTGCACGTGGCATGCTCAGGTCTGGGTCCCCCCTTCCTCACCCTCCCTTTGTCCCCCCCAATCCCCACACCTTCTCTACCACAGTCCAGGTGTGAGTGTGGTCTGCGGTGTGTGTGGTGTGTGATGCGTGTGTTGCATGGTTGTGTATTGCATGGTTTGGGTGGTGTGGATGTGGTACAGTGTGTGTGCAGCACGGCCTGTGTGTGGTGTGGCCGTGGCCTGCGGTCCCTTGCGGTTGCCTGCATCCAGCGACGGCTGTGCTGATGCCCCTCCCACCCATCGAGGCCTCTCCTCCTTTCTTTTTCCCTTCCCTTACCTTCCCTTCCCTTCCCTTCCCTCCCCTCCCTTCCCTTCCCTTCCCCCCTTCCTTTCCTTTCCTTTCACTTGCTCCTTCGTAAAATCCTGATTGAGCCATTCCCATGAGGCAGCCCTGGTGGCCGGGGCACACTTCTCTCACTGGGTCGTTCTCTTTCTCCTTTTCTCTCTCTCTTTTCCTGTCTTTGGCTCCGTTTCTGTGTCTGTTTTTCTCCCTCTGTCTTTTGTTTTGTTTCTCTGTTGTCTGAGTCTTTGTCTCTTTGTTTCTATCTTTGCCTGTTGGTTTTAGCCTAGCCCACTCAGGCACTAATTAGTTGTTCCCGTTAGGAAGTGGCTGCAAAGTCGTGTATGTGTGTGTGTGGGGTGTGTGTGTAAGTGTGCATGTGAGTGTATGTGCCTGTGTGAGTGTACATGTGTATGTGTATGTGAGTGTGTATGTATTGTGTATATGTGTGCATGTGAGTGTATGTACCTGAGTGTGCGTGTGAGTGCATGTGTGTGTGTATGTGTGTACATGACTGTGTGTTTATGTGTGTGAGTGTGTGTATGTGTGCGTCTTGTGAATGTGTATGAATGAGTGTGTGTGTGTTCTTGCTCTCTTTCCAACAGTTTTGGCCATGACTCCACCTCCCATTCATTTCCTAAGCGCCCCCCTACACACACACACTCACAGGGTCCTCCCAGGCGTGAGTATGTGTATGTGCAGCTAACAGGTCTGGCTCCTCATTGTTCCCCGAGGCTCTTGCCTACCGTGGCTGCAGGCTGGTGGGATTCCGGCGTGGGCAGCAGCTGCCTCCCCTTGCTCCAGCGTTGGGGTCGCTGCCATCGGCTGAGGGTTTGTTTCTTTCACTTTCACAGCTCTTCCCAAAACACTCGTCTCGGAGCAGCTGCTCCCGCCTGTGTGTGTGTGTGTGTGTGTGTGAGAGAGAGAGAGAGAGAGAATGTGCATGTGTGTGTGTGTGTGTGTGTGTGTGTGTGTGTGTGGAGGGTCACAGCAGCCCCTCCCTGGCCCCCTTTCTGCAGGGCTTGGCTTTTGTGTTCATTCTGAGTCCCTTGCACTTGTCCCTCAGTTCAATCAACACCTCTACATCTCTCCTGTGTACTGGGCTGTGTGTGTGTGTGTGTGTGTCTCCACTTCTCCCTCCTTCCCACCTGTTCTCGCCAGTCTCTAAGGCACTCTGAAATCTGCCCTGGCTGTATGTGTGTGGGTTCACAGGGCGAGGTCTGTGCACGTGAACCAGTATGTGACAAGCTGTCAGGGCATCATCTCTGCCACTGTACCTAATCCTTCACTCTCACCCTGGGGTAATTTCCTTTGTACTTTCCTTTGGTCCACACATGCAGAACAGCTCTTGTGAGTTGTGCACACAGGTGTGTGTGTGTGTGTGCGCGCGCGCGCGTGTGTGTGTGGTGTAGGGGGAGAGACAGAGAGACAGATCTCCTCTTCCCTTTGCTCTCTCTGGCTGCATCTTGACCTTTGCACACCTGCCCGGATCCATCTCTCTCTCCACTTCTCCTAAACCTCTCCTTGTCTCTTTCTGCATCATCTCTGAGGCTTTGCTTTCCCTCTGCAGATGAGAGAGGGTGCTCTGTCCATCCATCCATCTATCCATCTGTCTGTCTGTCCAAGAGTTATTTGTGGGCCCTTTTCTACCTCCCCACCCCTTTCCTGGGCCTGCACTCTTGTCACCCGCCCCCCTGCACCCTCCTGCGGGGCCATTTCAGCGCCCACCCTCTTCACCTCTCCATCTCCATCCCTCCCCGCTTGTGGGTTCTG
This sequence comes from Homo sapiens, assembly GCF_000001405.40. NCBI lineage: Eukaryota > Metazoa > Chordata > Mammalia > Primates > Hominidae > Homo > Homo sapiens. Next base: position 323,002 of record NW_025791812.1, read on the forward strand.
GACCGGGACCTGAGAACAAAGCTGCCTCCTGGGCCCCACACCCATCACCCGGCCCCAAACCCTTCAAGGCCCGTTGGGCTTGGCATCCTGTTTGGCTCCTTCCCTCATCAGGGGGCCTCATGCAGCCTCACTCCACTTCCAGCAGGTCACCCCTGCCGGGCCATTCCCCTGCCACTCTCTTATGCCCCCCTCTAGCTCAAGGCGATTTCCTTCCTGCCTTATAAATCCCCTACCCCCAATTCAGGTCTCCCAGGGGCCTCTCCTTTTCCATGTGGGGGTCTAGGAGTCGGTCTTTCTCTCCTGGTCAGGTTCCATTTTATTTCCTTTTTCCTCTGACTTGGTCGGGTTTTGTTCTTCCCTGGGCATCACTGGTACCTGTGTGTGTGTGTCTGTTCCTGTCTCCCTGTCTGACGCATTCACCTTTCCTTCCACCTTTTATCCTCTTCCTCTCATTTCAAAGAATTGGGATCTAACTTACATATCGTAAGATGCACAAATCTGAAATGAAAAGCTTTGATGAATTTCACATGTGTCTGCACCTGTGCCTCCACCACCCGGAGCAAGAAACAGACCGTCCTGGCCCTCGAGTGCAGGCTCCCTCCCACCCGCCCCTTGAGGCTCGGGGTGTTTCTCACTGTGTGTATGCGTGACATTTTGTCTGTCTGTCTATCCTGCAACTTTCTCAGCTGTTGCTTCCCTCTGGGAGCCCCTTGTCTTTGTTCCTGCGCTCCATCAGCGGTTATTGAACACCTCCTAAGACGGGCTCCGCGTGTGCCTACCTCCCTCCCCTACTACCCTCCCTGCCTGCTCTCTCCCGCTCCGCTCCCTCTCCAAGTTGTTATTGAATTCTGCTTCTATTCTGTGCGTCCCTGTAGGAGTGTGTGTGTGTGTGTGTGTGTGCGCGCGTCTCCCCGATTGCCCACCACCTCCCCCCTCGCTCTCCTTCCCCCACCTCTGCCTTCCTCCCTTTCTCTCCCACTCCTGGGGGCTCCATCGAGATTGTTCCAGGGTAGCCCAGCCCCGTGTCTCTCTCTGGCTCTTCCACCCCTCCTTCCTCCCCTCGCTGTCTCTGAGGGATGGGCGCAGGCTGGCTCTCACCCTGGGCATGTGCCGGCCTGTCCGTCTCCATGCCAGCTCTGGCCGCCTCCTCCTGCCCCTGGCATCCCCCCATTCCCTTCTGCCAACTCCCTTTGCTCCACACATAAGCTGCCAACATCGGGGTCTCTAGCCAGGATCTCCGAGCCGAGCCCAGACCTGTCCACTCATCACGGTCCATCTCTTCCGCTGCAGAGCAACCCCCAGCCCCCTTCAAGCCCCTACCCCATCCCTCCCCTCCACATCCTGAGCTGTCTTGCTGTCCGTACCTCCTTCTCACTCACTCCAGCTGCGATTTGTGCCTGACCTCCCGCATGGCTCTCACCAGCACCTCGCCTACCTCCCTGCAGACATGACCTTGTCCTCATCTTCCTCAACTTCTCTGGCATCTGACTGTAGACACATTGGTCCCCTAAGCCTGCCCTGCTTCCAGAGGACTCCTTCTCCGAGCCTTGGCCTTCTAACATACTGTTGTTCCTTGTCCTCTTCTCCCTTCCCACCACGCCTGGTGACTGTCCCCACTCTGGGGCTCAGCTCCCCCTTTGTAGGGACCACCCCACCTCCATCCCCTGAGTTCCAGCCCTCCCTGCATACAACCTTCCGGACATTCCATGGGCACCTCACGATGGACTCACACACCCCTCTTTGCCAAAGCCTGGGGTGTCCCGCCTCATATGCCCACTACCTGGCAGCACCCAGCTCAGACCCTGGGCTGGTCCGCTTCCCCTCCCCGCCCACGTCCGGTCCATGTGGTCCCCCAATGGGTCTCGCCCCGTCCCTTCCCCAGCACCTTGCCTTGGGATTCATGTCCCCTCCTGGGCTGTGCTCTAGTCCCCTCCTTGGAGTCTCTGTCACCTGTCACCTCCTGCAGTGCAGCAGCCCGTGCAGTGCTCTGGCCTGCACTTGGCTCACAGCAGGCAAATTTGGTCGTGCCTTTGGTAGATGCTCCCTGACCCAGCACCCACAGGGGGCGGACTTAGGGATACGGAGGCAGATCCGCGGCCCTGGTCCCTGGTCTGGTGGGGAGACTCCAGTGGAGTGTGCTGGGCCGCGGGCCGTAGGCTCATACGCTCCTCCTCAGCTGTGACTTCTCTCTTCTAGTGAACCCCTCTCTTTCCTCCTGCCTCCTGTTGTCCCACCCAACTCTTTCCACTGCAGTGGGGTGTTTCGGCCTGTCTGAGGGAGGGTCTGCGGGCCTGTCCCCGTCTGTCTGTCTGTCTCTGTCTGTCAGCGCTGCGTATCTGGTCTGCCTGTCCCTCTGTCTTCGTGTCTGTGAGAGATGTGTGTGTGTGTGCATTCTGCTGTTGGGCAGTCCTGGCGTCTGATTTGTGCGTGTGTGTGTTTCTTGTGTTGGGGTGTGTGTGTGGTGGTCTGTGTGTCCTGGAGTGGGTTTCTGGCTGGCCGGTTTTGCCGGTGTGGAGGGAGGCCTGCAGCATGGCAGCTGTCTGTAGGGGGCTGTCTGTGTGTCTGTCTCGGTGTATGGGGCTGCTGGCCAGTCCTGCCTGGGTGCAGAGATGAGTTGGGGGAACTCCCTGAGTGCAGGGGTCTGTCTGGGTGATACCATCCATGTGTCCTTCCTTCCCTCTCTGGGGGCTCTGGAGGCATCACGACTCCCCTCTCTCTGTCCGTCTCCCCCTCGTCTTCCCTGAGTCCCCTCCTGGAGGCTTTGTCAGGATCTGCTTGTCACTGCCTTGCCTGGCACGAGGCCTGCGTCACAGAGCGCAGCTGAGACCCTCTCCCTGCGTGGGCCTGGTGTGTGCATCATCTGGGAGCCCCTGGCGGTGTAGGGAGCCTTGCCTCGCCGCTCCGAGCTCTCCAGCCCCTCTCTCTCTCCCTCTGAGCCTTTCTGGAGCTTTCTTCCCCTTCCCGCGTGCGTCAGGCCTCTGTCTGTGCCGTGGAGCTCCCACCCTCGCCCCTCTGGTGGCCTTCCTGCTGCTGAGTGAGTTTGTCTGGAACTTTCAAGGTGTACCTGAGCCCTGCACCCACAAACTCCTACGGGGCAGGGCTGGGCAGAGCCAGGCAGGGCCCTGACATGTTCCTCAGTCCTCACCAGAGCCCCGATTCCCTCCAGGAGCCTTACCTTTTGGAAGCGGATCCAAGGCCCTCACCCGACCTTCAGGGAAGGCCCTTTGGCTCTAGCCTGCGCCCTCCTCGGCCGCCCACAGACCCCGCCACTTTTTGTGCTGCAGTTGCCCTGCCGTTTCTGTGCCTTCGATACACAGGCTGTTCCCGCTGCCTGGACTGCCCATCCCCAGAGAGGCCCTTCCTGGCCACACCATCTGAATGCGTCTCTGTCACTCTATTTCCCCTTACGCTGCTGTTTGTCTTTATAACACTGATCACTCCCTGCCATCTTCTTACACGTTGATTTCTGGCTTAGTTTCAGTCTCTCACGCTATCATCTCTGCCACTATGCTGTAAGCCCCATGAGGGCAGGCCCATGTCTGTGTCGTCCAGTGTTGCGTCTCCAGCTCCTAGAACAGCGCCTGGCATGTAGAAGGGGCTTGATTGAATGAACAATCTCATTTCTGAGCTCTGTCTGGCCAGGATGCAGTGGAAATCCCTCCCCGCATTCACCCAGTCCCCAGGGAGGCCACACCCAGCTCCGTCCTCCCCTTCCCAGTGTGCACATGGAGCCCGTGGCTGCCTCTCAAGCACTTCTGGCCATGTGTCCCTGGCTGCTTCAACCCTTCCTGGGCTCCCTCCATCCCGCGGGCGCCGTCCAGGCGTTAGCCTGGGCGTCAAACCCTTGCATGCTTCAACCCCCATTGCCTCTCAAGCCTCACCCCTTCTCTGTCACCCCCACACCAGCCACCGGCCACCCAGATGGCCTGTCATCTCAGACACCACCCCGCCCTCACACACATTCTCACCCCTCCTGGCCCTTGCAAACTCTCTGTGTGAGGTGTCCCTTCCCAACCTGCCCCGGTGATCGGGCATCTGGCTCCAAGTCACCTCCCCCTGCAGACTGGGGGACTGTCCCCGCCTTCCCCTCCCCGTGCCTCCCACCCCTAAGCAGAGTCCGTGTCTCCCCTGCCACCGTGGCTTCCTGAGGGAAGGGGCTTCCAGGAGCACTCCTGCCGCACCGTGTGCTGATGGTGTCCCATCTGTCCGTCAGGCCAGGCCGTGAGCCACTCGGCTCTGAGTCCCCTGGGCCCAGGAGCGGCTTCCCCCCAGGCGGCTATAGAGAGGGACTCTGGAGGATGAGAGGAGGGGTCCTGTGTCCTGGCCCCTCGGCCCCTCCTCCTCTCCCTCTCTGTCTTCCTGCTCCTCTTCTGAGTGTCCCACGCCCAGTTTCCTCCCTACTGTGTGTGTCTGACTGTCTTTCTGCAACGCCTTCCCCCACTGGAGCATTAGTGCTTCATTGCTCCTTTTGGGCATCAAATACTTTGCCCTGTGTGTGTGTCACAGTGCCCCCCAGTGCCCTCTCTCAGTCAGTCTGTCTGTCTGTCCATCCGTCTATCTCATCACACTGTACTCTTTGCTTTCTCTCTGCCCTAGCCCTGGAGGTCATTGTCATTCTTTGAGCATGTGAGACACACACACACACACACACACACACACAAAACACCAAACCCCCGCCTGGCCCCCTCTCTGTGGGGTCTGGCTTTTGTGCTCATTCTGTGAGTCACCGCATCCACTCCCTCCTTCAGGCAGCACCCCTCGAGTCGCTCCCGTGTGCTGGCCGGGCACGTGTGTGTGTGTGCATGTGTGAGTGTGTGCATGTGTGTGTGTGTGCGTGTCTGTGTTTCTCTGGCTCTTCCCCTGCCTCCAGCCTGTTCTCTGTCTCTAAGGCGTTACTGAAATCTGCCCTGGCTGTCAGAGAGACAGAGGTTGGGAGGGAAGGAAGGGAGGTGGTGGGCAGCTTCCCAGTGCCTGCTACTCACTGCCCGCTCCCGTTCTTCTCTGGCTGTCTCTCTCTCTGTCTCTCAGCCTCTCTGTCTGTCTCTCTCCATCTCTCAGCCTCTCTCTGTCTCTCTCCATTTCTCAGCATCTCTCTGTCTCTCTCCATCTCTCAGTCTCTGTCTCTCTCCATCTCTCAGCCTCTCTTTTTCTCTCTCCATCTCTCAGTCTCTTTCTGTCTCTCTCCATCTCTCAGTCTCTCTCTGTCTCTCTCCATCTCTCAGCATCTCTCTGTCTCTCTCCATCTCTCAGTCTCTCTCTGTCTCTCTCCATCTCTCAGACTCTCTCTGTCTCTCTCTTTGTCTCTCAGCCTCTCTCTCTGTCTCTCTCTGCTCCTGTTCTTCTCTCCCTCTCTCTCCATCTCTTGGCCTCTCTCCTCCCTTCTCAATTTTTCCAGATGTGCCATGTCTGACTCTGCTCATGCCACGTATTTCCCTTCCTCCTCCTCTCTTAGGCTCCGTCTTCTCCCACTTCTTCTGGACTCCTGTGCATCTGTGTGTGTCTGTGTGTGTGTCTCTGAGTGTGTATCTGTGTGTGTGTCTGTGAGCATGTGTGTTTGTGTGTCTGTGTGTATCTCTGTGTCTGTGTGTCTGTGTATTTCTGTGTATGTGTCTCTGTGTGTGTCTCTGAGTGTGTATCTTTGTGTGTCTGTGTGTGTCTGTGTGTGTCTGAGTGTGTGTGTCTCTGAGTGTGTATCTCTGTGTGTCCGTGAGTGTGTATTTCCGTGTGTCTCTGTGTATCTCTGTGTGTGTCTGTGTGTGTGTATTTCTGTGTGTCTCTGTGTATCTGTGTGTCTGTATGTGCGTCTGCGTGTGTATCCTGTGTGTGTGTCTCTATGTATGTCTCTGAGTATCTCTGTGTGTCTGTGAGTGTGTGTGTGTCTCTGAGTGTGTATCTCTGTGTCGGAGTGTGTGTCTGTGTGTGTTCTGGAGTATGTGTCTCTGTGGTCTGTGTCTCTGAGTGTGTGTCTGTTTCTGTGTGTGTCTGTGTGTCTGTGAGTGTGTCTCTATGTGTCCGTGTGTGTGTGTCTGTGACTGTGTGTATGTCTGTGTGTGTCTCTGAGTGTGTGTCTGTGTGTGTCTATGTGTGTCTGTGTGTGTGTATCTGTGTGTGTCTATGTGTCTGTGAATGTGTCTATGTGTGTCTGTGTGTGTCTCTGAGTGTGTCTGTGTGTATGTGTGTGTGTCTGTGTGTCTCTGAGTGTTTGTGTCTATGTGTGTCTGTGAGTGTGTCTCTTTCCCCTCCCTCTGCCTACCCCTACCCTGCTGGGGGCCCTGGGAGGGGGGGGTCCATCCTGGGGTCTTGCCCTCTCACTGCTGCCTCCAGCTGGGTCTCACTGCTCCTGGAGCTCCATCCTGAGGGATCCCCACATCCCCCATGTTTCCCAGGAGGCCACAGAGCTAAACCCACCCTCTGGTCACACCTGGTCCCTGGTTCCAGAGCTGGAGGTTCCCACCCTCAGCCCACTCGCCCAGGCCAGGGCTGGCCTGCCCCTCCCCCATCCACAAACCATCATGAGGACTCCTGAACTCCCCTCCACACCCCCGACAGCTCTCAATCCCCACCTCCCTCTCTACGGGTACCCCAACTCTCCCTGGAAGGACCCTGCTGGCTTCCTCTGTGGCCTCTGCTTCCGCTCCCATCAGGGTCAGAAACCCAGAGCAGTGCCTGTCCCAAGTCCTCCAGATGCCCACGCCCAGGCCCCGTCTGGCCCCTGCCTTCTCTGTCCTCTGTCCTCTGTCTCTGCCGCTATCTGTCTCCGTGTCTCACACCAGGATATTCTGCTCCTCCAAGCCTTTGTCCTTGTGCTCAGCCTTTGTCCTCTGCCTGGTGACCCGGCCCTCTTTCCCCCATGCCTTCTTCCCCCTCTGGCAAACTCTTCTTCCTTCCCCAGGGCCCCGCTTTGTGCTCCTGGGCTCTGGGACCTTCCTCTGGGAGACCCTTTCCCTGCCCGGCCTCCAGGTCAGCCCAGACTTGCCCCCAGATCGAGGTAGTTTCAAGGGGAACCGGCTGCAGCCCAACCTAACCCTGGAAGCCTGCACACAGCAGCAGGTCGCCCCAAACACACCCCAGTCTCCTTCTCAGTGGGTGCCAGCCTGTTTGGGGTTTGGGGCTCAGTGCCTTGGAGGCCTACCCCACCTTGCCAGCCCCTCCTCGTTCCTTGCCCACAGCCTCCCTGCTCCTCCTTCCCCATGTGCAAACACATGTGTATGTATATGTGTGTATGTATGTGTATGCATGAGTGTGTATGCACGTGTGCGCACACCTGTGTGCGTGTGCATGCGTGTGCATGCACGCATGTGTGTATGTATGTGTATGCGTGAGTGTGTATGCACGTGTGTATGTGTGTGTATGCATGTGTATGCAAGCGTATGTGTGCATGTTGATGTGTGTATATATGTGCGTGTGTGCATGTGTGCATATTGTGTGTGTATGCGTGTGCGTCTGATGGCCTCCCCTCACTGTTCTCTGTAACTTCATCTCCATTCACTCCCTCTGCGACAGTTTTGTTTCTTTATCTTCTTTCTTCTTCCCAGCCATGCGTTTTTTTTCCCGATTGCAAAGGTAATGCTCCATCTTCATGACAGGATGTTTAGAAAATACAGAGAAAACAATCGAAGCCTCTGTGGGTTCCGTTTCCCAAGAAGAGAGGCCTCTGGGTGTAGGTTGGGAAGTGGCCCCCACGTTGGTCTGTAGCCCGGGCCCCCATGCACAGGTGTGCATACCTTGCACACTCTTGTCCGCCCCTTCTTCCCTTGGGCTCTGCCTGGCCCTCTCTCTGTTCCTCTCAGGGACTCTGCCTTTCTCAGTCTGTCACCGTCTCTCTGGTCTGTCTCTGAGCCCCTCTGTCTCTGGGCGCCTTCCTCCGTCTCCGTTCTGCCCTCACCCTGGGGATTCCCACACACATCCACTTTCATTCATTCACAAACCCCACTCTGCAGACGCCGGGCCACACTGTGTGTGTCTGTGGGAGAGCGTGCCTCCTGCTGTCTCTGAAGGTTCCTTGGATTTTGTCCCTACCTGTGGGAGCTCCTGGGGTGCATATGGGGGGCGGGGTATCCACACATCTGGCTCCCTGGACACCTTCTGCCTGTGTGTGCGCTTGTCTTTCTGCCGCCTCCCTTTCTCTGCACCTTCGTGAACTGCCATCTTGCCCTTCACTGCATCCTCTGTGTGTGTGTGTGTGTGTGTGTGCGCGCGCGCGTGTGTGTGTCCCTCCACTCACTTTTGTCTCCCTCGCCTCCTCTCTGTGGTTTCTTCATAGTTCGCTCTCCCTCTATTCCCCCGGGTCACCCCCATTCATCATTTCTTTTGCTCATTCAAAGATGGAGCATCATTTCTTTCTAAATTATCTGCCGTGAGCACAGAGAGCTTTATTACCTTTGTAATAAAAAAAAAACCATGAACATTGCACCCACCACCCACAGGAGTAACAGGGTGCTGGTGCCTATTGCTCGTGTCCCTTTGAGGTGTGCCTGTGCGGGGGTGAGTGAGTGTGTCTGTCTGTCCTTCCACCTCCAGGCTTCCTGGCTGCCTCTCCTTCCTCCTCTTCTCCACCCTTTTTCCTGGAGATTTCTGGAATTTCACTCTCGCCGCTCCTGCTGTGAGCCTGAAGAAGGGGCTGTGTGTGTGTGTGTGTGTGTGTGTGTGGTGTGTGTGTGAGTGTGGGCGCTGAGGGTTGTGTGTGTGTGGTGGGTGGGTGTGAGCCAGGCTGCATGTACTCCCGCCTTCCCTCACCGCCTCTGCAGCCCTGCCAGCTTTTGTTCCCCTCTGCGAACATTTCCTTTCTTTCAGAAATGACATTTATTGTTTTCCTTTGGTTTCAGATGTCATATGTGTTCCCTGTAGAAAAGGTGGAAAATACCAAAAAGAATGTGCAGAGGAAGACAAATAAAAATCCCTGTGCTCCCAACTCCCAGGGAGAGAGGAGCCGTCGCCGACATTTTGGGGAGCTTTTCATTATCTTTGCCTTGTGTCTGTGCACTGTTTTTCTCGCTTTTTCTTTGCAGATTCTACCCCACTCTCTACTCTCTTATTCATTCCTTCAGAAACATTTGGGGGTCCCCACTTGGGGCACCCCTGTGTGTCTTCGTCAGCCCATCTGAATGTCTTTGTTGGGAAGGTCCGTCTGTTTGAGGGTCTCCTACCTCTCTCCCTTCGTGTGGGTGTGAGTGCGTGTGTGTGTGTGTGTGTGGGGGGGGGGAAGCAGCTAGAAAGAAATAGTTGGGGGGAGAGAGAGACAGAAAGAGACCCTGCGTCCTCCGCCCTTCCTCCCTCCTCCTTCCTCCTCTGCCCGCTTCGGGATGCAGGGATAACTGTGCTAGGTGCCTGCCTGTGGCCCCCAGTCCCTTTTCCTGTCCCCATCCCTTTGTCTTTGGGTTCCTAAAGGATGGCACAGAGCCTCCAGGAGCGGAGTGGGGCGGTGTAGGCAGAGGACACAGCTCCTAGCAGCAAGTGGAAGCAGGAAACGGTTCTGTTTCCAGGAGCTTTCCTCATGTGGCCCGGGAGATGAGGGGGTAGGGGACCAGGGGACTGGCCACGGAGGAGCTTCCCTCTTGCTCTACCCTCATAGGGGCTGGGAAGTGGGCCGTGCCGTGGGAGCACCAATTACCTGTTGTCAGCACGCAGTGGGACCCCTGCTTGACCCCTGGCTTCTGCCACCCAAGCCGGAGTGTCCTGCTTCCTGCCATTCTGAACCCCAAACATCTCCCTGAGGTCCTGTCTCCTCCTTGCCCCCTTGCCCTGGCCTGGGCTTTGTCATTGCAGGCCTGGATTCTGCCTGGGACCCCTCCACTAGCCTGCAGTGACTTCACAGTGTGGCTGAGAGGCCCTGGGGGGTGGGGGTGGGAATGGTCACCAGAGGGATGGAGTGGCCCATAAGAGTCCCATACTGTCATGAGGTTCCCAGCCTAAACTCTGACCCCGAACTAGCTGTACCCCGTCTCTGCCTCAGTTTCTCCCCAAGGCCTCCAGCTCAGTACAGGGCAGGAGGACATCAGAGAGGGGCATGGAGTGTGGATTTGGAGCAGGTAGGTCTGAGTCTCCCTCCAGGGTCGCTGCTTTCATCCTCACCCTTGAGCGTCAGTTTCCTCCTCTCTGACATGGAGCTGCCACTAGCTTCTCTTCCAAAGGCTGTGCACCTGGCCAGTGCCAGGAACGTTTTCTCCGATGGCACTACAGTCATTCTTATCACTGGCGATGGCGCCCCCAGCCCCTCTCCTGGCGCACAGGAGGGCTCCCTGGCTGGCATTTGAATGAGTGACTCAGAGAGACTTGGAGAGCAGGCCTGACCAAGGCAGGTGGACAGAGGGACAGATGTGTGAACACACACAGGCGTGCGGGCACCACACGCACAGCAGCACTCACCCATGGATTGGAAGGAAATGGAATTTAATTCTAGAGACAGGCACTGAGAAACAGAAGACAAAAGTTGTGGGGTTGGGGGCCAGGAGAAAGACCCTCCAGGGGCAGACCTGGAGCCCAACACAAAGACTGGGACTCAGCACACAGCCTGCCCTGGAGGGCTTTAGGGTCTGCACCAACGTGCCGGCCACCAGCTGCGCGAGAGGGGAATGGAACACAGACTCCAGGAGGACAGAGGTGGGGAGAGAGACAGAGAGGGAGAGAGAGAGACAGAGAAATGGAGAGGGAGATGGAGAGGCACAGAGAGAGAATGGGAGGGAGGGAGAGACAGAGAGGGAGGGAGAGAGAGATGGAGAGAGAGCAGGGAGGAGAGAGAGAGGGAGGGAGAGACAGAGGGGGAGAGAGAAATGGAGAGGGCAACAGAGAGACACACAGAGAGACATGGAGAGAGGGAGGGAGAGAGACAGACAGAGACAGAGAGATGAAGAGACACAGAGGGAAACAGAGGAAGAGATGCAGAAACCCAGAGCATAACAGTAACCCGGAGAGAGACAGAGAGACAGAGAGATATAGAGAGACAGAGAGAGACAGAGGGAGAGATAAAGGGAGGCAAAAAGGCAGAGAGACCCAGGGAGAGACAGAGATGCCCAGAGAGACAGCAAGAGTCCAGAAGGGTGCAGAGTAAGGGGTGATGTGGGAGACAGAGGGAGCCAGGAAGGAGAAGGAGCTGAGGAGGGAGGCGTGTCCAGTGGGGACTTGAGGGTGAGAAAGTGCCCTGAGGGGAGGTCTTGGCTGTGGGAAGAGCCTGGGCCAATGCCAGGAAAGCTGCTGTTGCCCTGTTTTAGCAGACATTAGGAATTCTGGACTTTACTGCATGGCCCGTAGGGAGCTAGTGAAGGTTATAGAGCAAGGGGGTGATCTGTCACAGTTGGGGAGTTTGATAATGTGCCCTCTGGCAGCAAGGAAGAAGAAGGAAGGTGCAGAGGCTGTGAGGGGCTGCGGTGGCAGTAGGGAAGAAGGAAAGAGGTTGGTCCACGCAGGTGTGGCTCCTCCGAGATGTTTAATAGGTACTCAGGGAATAAGCATGGGAGACAAACTATGGAGGGCTGCGGGTGGTGAGGATGGGGAAGGGAAGGCTGGTCAGGATCACTGGGGACATGAGTGGCCTTCCCCAGCTTTGACACTTTGCTATGGCTGTCCCCTCGGTCTGGGATGCACCCTCCTTCCCTCCTCCTCCCCTTTACCCAGCTCCCTTCTTCTCACAGCACCCCTTCCTGTCACCCCACAAGTGGGCATCCTGCCTTGGGGCTCCCATGACCCCTGGGCACCACCTCATTGTTGCTGCTGTTCCCATCTTCTCTTGTAATTATTTGTCTCTCTGTACCTGCCTCGTACCCAGGCCAGGGGTGGCGGAGGGTGGGCCTGGCACTCCAGTTCTCTCTGGAGATTTTCCTCGCCTGCCTAGCATGGGGCTGAGTGCACTCAGTGGATCCTGGGAGCAGCTGGAAGAAGGAACACACCTTCTTTCTCCACCTGGCTAACTTCTATGCATCCTTCGAGGCCCTGCTCAAATGGCCCTTCCTTCCGAAGCCTTTCCTGCTTCCCCTTTAGAAAGTGGCTTCCACTCCGGGCTCTCTCATAACAAGCCTCAGTCACATCATGGGTCTCTTTGTGTCCGTCTGCCTTTCTCAAGGCTATTGGTGCTCAAGGACAAAACAAGACGGAACAGAAGAGCAGCAGCCATGAATCCTTACACAGCGCTCACCACATGCTGGAAACTGTCCTAAGCACCTTCCGTGGGCTTTTCATTTAATCCTTACGGGACAAGTATAGACCCTATGATTATTTCCTTTCACGGATGGTGAAACCAAGGCTCAGAGAGGTGAAAAGACTTGTCCCAGGTCACACGGCAAGTAAGTAGTGAAGGTAGGATTTGAACCCAGGCTGTCTGGCTCCAGAATCACCCTGTAAGGTGGTGTGAGGTGGTATGTGTCAAGCATTTCTCTCTCAGTGTAAAGGGCCCTGGAATCTTTCTCTTTTCTGCAGTTTCTGTCCTGTCCTGGGCTCCCTGTACCCTGTCCACCTTCTGCACCTTCTCACTGGGAAGCCCATTCCCTACCCACAGTGCTGACCCTCAGAGTCCCTCCCTGCCATTCGCCTTGATGAAGGCACAAGGCCGGCACCTGCTGGCCCCTCCACCGATGCCTCAAGCCCACTGCCTGTCGTTACAGTCCTCAAATGTGTTTTTCTCCTGTTCTCATTAGCGCTGGGCGTCACCACCCACCGGGGCTGCAGCCAGGAGCCCGGACTCATCTCTGACTCTTCCAGTGGCCTGCCGCCCACCACCCATCTGTGCCCATTTCCTGCCGACTGTCCTCCGGGGCCCCTTTCCTGGGCCACCACCTTCGGTCTCACCCTCCACTTCTTACTGAAACACCTGTTACCTTCCTAAGTCCCCGTGTCCGTTAACGAAGCTGGTGACGACATGTTCCTCATGGAGTATCTCGAGGATTAGGCAAATACCGAAAAGCTGTTGCGGCAGGGCCAGGTTTGCAATCCGTAGCTGTAATTAAAGATTAAACGGGTAGCTGTGACTAAAGATTTTCTGAATGAATGAATGAGTGAACGACCCCATGGGTATGCCATTTTCTTTTCCTTATATTCCTCTCAGATTCCCCGTCCCCCACACTCCTTGTCTCTAGGGCACAATTTTTACTATTTTTGAATGATGGCTGCCCTTTGGAAATGCCCTGGGTCTCCTGAGCCAGCCTGCAAGCCTCTCTGGTCTTAGAAAAAGATCCTTCCCGTGACTCCATCTCTCTTCCAGCTACAGCTCCATTCCTTTCCTTTCCTTTCTTCCTAGAAAACCTCTGGGAAAGAATTGCACTCCCGCCACCACCACTAGCCCCATTTCCTCCACCCACTCCCATCAGCCCCTTCCCCTGATGCCTCTGCCCTGGTCAAGCTCATAGGTGGCCCCCATGCTGCCAAATTTCATGGACATTTTAAATGTTAGTTTTTCTCTTCCTCTGACTCTTGGCAGCATTTCAGCACTTTCTGGGATGTCCCTCCTGCATTTCTCCTCATGTCCTCCAATGACCAGCCCCTGGAGAACCCCTTGTAGAGGTTGTTGAAATGTTGGTGAGCCCCTGGCTCAATGTCTGCTTATCTTCTCTTTCTCGGTCTCTGTTTCTCTCCTCACTTCCTTGGGAATCCTGATTCACCCAGTCCTATGACTTGAAAAACCAGCAAGACTTGTGTTGATGATTCCTAGCTTGGGCCTGAGCCCCAGGCATGGATGTCCAGCTGCCCCGTGGCCATCTCCATGTGTCAGTCTGTGGCCACTCAAACGTCACATGCTCCAAATGAGCCCCTGACTTCAATCCTCCAAGCTGGGCCTCTGCCTGGCTGCCCTCACTTCAGGACCTGGCACAGCTACCACTCAAGTCTAAAATAATAGCTGGGCATGGTGGTGGGCACCTGTAATCCCAGCTACTTGGGAGGCTGAAGTGGGAGGATCGCTTGAGGTGGAGAGGCAGAGGTTGCAGTGAGCCAAGATCGTGCCACTGTACTCCAGCCTGGGCGGCAGAGCGAGACCCTGTATCTCACACACATACACACACACACACACACGTCTAAAACAAGGGTCTCTCCAGACATGCCACCCTCTCTCATCCTCAGGGTTGCATCCCCAGCCCTCCTCATGACTCCTTTTCCCCTCTTTTCCTCACTGTTTCAATAACCACACAAATACTGATGATTCCAGGGTCTCTATCTCTTGCCTAACTTTTATCCTGAGCCTCTGATTAGCCATTTCCTGGAGGTTTCTACCCCGAGGTCCCTCAGGCACCTACTGCTCCACCTGGACCAAGTGGACTCAGCGTCATCCCCTACACATGCTCCTTCTCTGTCTGGGGTCCTTGTGCTGGTAAAGAAGACTGCCATGTGCCCTACCATGGAGGGCACCCCACATCACTCTTAATTCTGTGTTGTTTACTTCCACTAGTACTTCTCATTGGGGTGGTCATTTGCCAAGCCCTTCTTGTGTCCCCTCAATCACTGTTTGTTTCTTGGTTCTCTGTCTTCTCTATTCTGAATTCTGTGGCCATTCTTGATAACTTCAATGCCAACATGGATGGCGTAGCCAACACTGTGATCTGGACCTCCCAGGTGCCCAAAATATTGTCCTTTGTTCAACTGCAGCTATGATCACATCTTTGGTCTTGCCATACAATGACAGTGCCAACTCTGAAATCTCAATTTTGAGCCATCCCACTCCCCAGCATTCATCTGCTGCCATTCCACCTCATTTGCTTGAGCACGTCTTTGATCAAAACAAGACTTTGGAAGTCAATCCCCAACTATTCTTTCTTTAGCCCCTCTAATTAGCCTTCCATCCCCACTTTGCTGCTGGCATTGCTCTTGGCAGGATCAACAGTGACCTCCATCTTGTCCTATCCAGCGGTCACTCCTCAGGCCTCGTCTTCTTTGTCCCATCAGCAGTGCCTGATGAGGTTGATCACTTCTTCAGTCTCAAAACATTCACTCGTCTTGGCCTTCACGATACGACACTCTTGTACTTTTCCTTCTCAGTCTCTGTTGCTGGATCCTGTTGCTTCCCCAACCTCTAAATGGCCCCCTTCTCTTTTGTACCCACACCCTCTCCTGATCTCTATCAGCTCACTGGGTTGAAACACCATCTATTTGCTGACGACTTCCTAACTCCAGCTCTCCCTGAACTCGACTCCACTGCCCATTCCACATCTCAACTTGGATGTCCAGGAGGCATCTCAAACTCACTATGTCCAAAGCAGAACTCATTCCATCTTCCCACAAACTTGCTCCTTCCCCAGTCTTTCCCACATCAGTAACTGACACCACTCTAAGACCGTAGAAGTCATTCTGGAGCCCCCTGTTCTTCCATGACTCATATCCATGTTTAATCCACTGGTAAGTACTGACTTAACTCCCAAAGCTCCCCACATCCATTCCATGTTTTTCACCCTAGCTGCCCCATGCTAACTCAAGCCCCCATCATTCCTCTGGGACACCAGCCCAGCCTCCTCTGTGGGCTCCCTGTTTTTACTCCTGTTTCCAACTCATTCTCCATCTAGAACCAGAGGGATCTTGTAAACAGGATCATGCCACCTCCTGCTCATAACATCCAAGTTTTGTGCCATAGTCTACAAAATCTGACATGATGTGACCCTGATCCCAGCTCTGGCTTCATTTCCTGCATTGCTTCCCTCCCACTTTCTTGGTTCCAGCCCCGTTGACCTGCTTGCTCTCCCCCAGACACACCAAGCTCATTCCTGTCTTAGGGCTCAGCCTGCAGTTCCTTCAGACTGGAAGACTTTCCTCCCAGGAATCCACAAGGCTATGTCCTTCCTTCTTGTCACTCAGTGCTAGGTTCAGATGCCACCTCCTCAGGATGGCCTTTCCTGACCATCCCCCGGACTCAGTCTCACCAGCCTACTTTATCCTCTTCTTCACTCTTATCATTATCTGAAATGATCTCATTAATTTACTCCTCCTTTCTTTCTGTCTTTTGTACTGGAGGGTCAGTTCCGGGACAGCCGGGACTGGGTCTGGTCTGCTCCCTGCTGTAATTTGGTCATTCAGCACTGTCTGGCATGCAGTAGGAGCTCTGTCAATTCTTGTGGGTTACAGGCATGGCTCAGGTCCTTTCAGGTTGGTTCCTTAACAGCTCTCACCTCTGTGCCCTCCACTCACCTCTCTGCCTCCCTGACTTGCTCTCTGAGCTCCCTTCCTCCTTGTCTCTTGGCTTCAGGGTTCTCACTCTGAGCCCGCACAAGTTTGGCCTCCCCTTTGTGAGTGCATCATCGTGTGTGTGTGTGTGTGTGTGAGTGTGTGAATGCACACCCATGTCTGTGCCTGTCTGTGTCACTGTGGGTCTTATTTCTGTTTCTCTCTCACATAGTGGGCTTTGATATAACTTCTGGTTTGCCTCATTCATTCATTTGTTAATTTATTACTTTATTCAGTTATTCCATCTTTAAATATCTTGTGGTGGATGCTATGCTAGACAGTGTAGATGTGTGATATGTGTGTGTGGACACATCTGTGAATCTCTCATATTCTGGACCCTTATCATGTGTTGTTCTCACTCGATATTAGCCAAAAGGCTGAGAAGCAATCAGGTTTTGTTCTCATCTCTGGATTATTCCATCCATCCATTCACACACCCACCCCCTATCCATCCACCCATCCTCCTCTCCACCCACCTACTCACTCACCTATCCATCCACCCATCCACTCATCCAACCACCCATCCATTCATTCACTTCCATTTATCCATCCATCCATCCACCCACTCACTCATCCACTCATCCATCAACCCATCCACTCATCCATTCACCCATCCATTCATTCACTCCTCCATTTATTCATCTGTCTCTCCACCCACTCATCCATCAACCCATCCATTCATTCACTTTCATGTATCCATCCATCCATCCATCCACCCACCCACTCACTCATCCATTCATCCATCCACCCACCCATCCACTCATCCATTCACCCATCCATTCATCCACTCTTCCATTTATCCATCCATCTATCCATCAATCCATCCACCCGCCCATCCATCCATCTAAAATATTCTGTGCCAGTCAGTGAGAGGTGAGTTTGTGCCTGTATCTGTAGGGTGCCTGTATCCATGTCCCTGCTGTGTGTCTGAGGGTCCCATCTCCCTTCCCTCAATGCCTGGGTTTTTATCTCCTTCCAAAGCCACATTTTCCCTTTCTCTTTACAGAGAAGCCTTGTTGGGTTTTTGCTCTGAGTCTGCAAGCCATTCATGCTGTGTGTGTGTGTGTGTGTGTGTGTGTGTGTGTGTACATCTGTCAGTCTCTCACTTCTTTCCCCCTGGGACTTGGGATGGGCGGTTCCTGGTCTCTGGGTCACTGTCATTTACACCTTTTCCATCTATTTGTTGATTCATCCACAAGAGGTTGATTAAACACCTGCTTCATGTCAGGACCTGGGCTGCTCCATTGTGTACGTGTGTGCATGTGTGAATGCATGCTGTCTGCCATCCCTGCCTTTGTCTCCTTCTCATCCTCTTCTTCCACCTGCCTTCACATCTTGGGGCCCCGGTGCATGTCCTGAGCTCCACCCTCCTCCTCTGCACCACCTTGCCCTGCCCTTGGTGCTGACGGCCCCAAGGGCCAGGTTGCCCTCATGCTCACAAGTTGGATACTCAAAGCCAATCCTCAGCTGTCTTTGGTATCACAAACTCAGTGGATGACAAACTCACCACATCATTTCCGCACCCCTGATGTGTTTCTCTCCCTGTTCTCGTTAGCGCTGAGTGTCATTGCCTGCCTGGGTCCACAGCCAGGAGCCCCAAGTCATCTATGAGTCCTCACTCTCCTGCCGCCCACAGCCCATCTGTTCTTCCTGTATAATCTTTCCCCAAAAGCTGCTCAGCACCCCCCAACCCCCACCATCTTATCAGCCCCTGCCACAGCCCTGGCCTAGAAAATTGAAGCCTGGACCACTGTACCCATCCATCCATCCATCTGTCCATCCACTCATCACCCACCCATCCATTAATAGACTTGCACTGAGTACACACTGGGTCCCTGCTGAGCACACAGGCCCCAAAGGCAGGAGCTCAGAGTCCAGAGGGGTGACAGAATAGTTGTCACTGCCCTTCAAGATGGGTGATGGAGACTTCCCAAGGCTTTATGTCCCTTTTGTCATCACACAGTGTGTTTGGGGGAGTGATCTCTCTCTTTTTTTTTCAGACAGGGTCTGGCTCTGTCACCCAGGCTTGAGTGCAGTGGCATAATCACGGCTCACTGGAACCTCTGCCTCCCCAGCTCAAGCAGTCCTCCTACCTAAGCCTCCCGAGTAGCTAGGACTACAGGCACATGAACCAATGCCCTGCCAATTTTTGTATTTTTGGTAGAGACGGGGTTTCGCCATGTTGCCCAGGCTGGTCTTGAACCCCTGAGCTCAAGCAATCCTCCCACCTCGGCCTCCCAAAGTGCTAGGATTACAGGCGTGAGCCACTGCACCTAGCCGGCATCTGTCTTACTTATCACTTTTTCATACCTCCTTCCTCCATCCAACCCTCCACCAGGGCTGTGTCCTCCCGCTTTGGCCCAGGTCCTTCCATGATTAGTGTGCCTGCACCATGCTGTCCCTGACCAGGGCTGCAGAGATGCGCTTCACGCAGACGGTGCTCATGTACGTCCACCCAGCAGGGGCTGGATCTGTTCTGCTCTGTGCCGTAATTTGGTCATTCAGCACTGTCTGGCATGCAGTAGGCGCTCTGTCAATTCTTGTGGGTTACAGGCATGGCTCAGGTCCTTTCAGGTTGGTTCCTTAATAGCTCTCACCTCTGTGCCCTCCACTCACCTCTCTGCCTCCCTGACTTGCCCTCTGAGCTCCCTTCTTCCTTGTCTCTTGGCTTCAGGGTTCTCTCTCTGAGCCCACACAGGTTTGGCCTCCCCTTTGTGAGTGCATCATCGTGTGTGTGTGTGTGTGTGTGTGAATGCACACCCATGTCTGTGCCTGTGTCACTGTGGGTCATATTTCTGTTTCTCTCTCACATAGTGGGCTTTGATATAACTTCTGGTTTGCCTCATTCATTTATTCATTTGTTAATTTATTACTTTATTCAGTTATTCCATTTTAAAATATTTTGTGGTAGATGCTATACTAGACAAATCCACTCAGATGCTCAGCAACAACACAGACTTGGCAAGATAGCATCAAACCCCTTAACATCCCCACTCCCCTTCCTTGTTCCCACCCCCATCTCTGAGACCAAAAACCCAGACACCTTCTCTTCCTCCTTGGATGGGGAAGAGATATCCATCTTCAATTTGACTCTAATTTCTTGCCAATTCTTCCTCTAACATCTCTCCCCTGTCTTCCCCTTTGGTCCTCTCCATCCTCATGGCCAGTATTGTTGCCCTGGCAACGGCCATTCTCCCTTCTCTCCTGGCTGCTCTCAGCTGGGGAGCATGCCCACTTCTCTCTAACCTGTAGAGAAACTCTCATCTTGATCTGTCTCCCTTCTGTCCCCTCTCTCCTTCCATCATCAGAAGAGCTGGGGAGGGAGCCATTGGCTTCAGTGTTGCCACCCCTGCTTCCTCTGTGCCAGCCAAGGTGCTCAGGCAGGGCCCTCTACCCACCTCCTGTGTGCCAGATCTTCAGTCTCTTGTCCTTTGCACGTTCATCTGCCCAATGTGAGAGGTCCCTGTGGGTGTCTTATGGGCTCCTCCTCACCATTGGCTACAATGACCTCTTTTCCTTCCCTTCCCAAACCCATCTTTCAAGAATAACACACTGTATGTCCCCTTTGATGAAGCCTCTGCTGGCTTCTTCCCCCCAGGACCCCCATCATCTCCCAAGAGCTCCCCCAAGGAACAGCCAGGCATGCCTTGGTTTGGGCACTTTTCTCCCCTACGAGACTGTGAACCTTGATGTCAGGGTCTTCTGTGGATGTCAGCACAGAGGAAGGCTAGGGATGTGTGTGGCTGGGTGGGGAAGGGGATGGACAGATAGACGGAAGTCATGTATGTCTGTGGGTTTCCTCTTTGTCTTACTCTTCTTCTTCTTCTTCTTTTGTTGAGACAGGGTTTCAGCCTGTCACCCAGGCTGGAGAGCAGTGGCACAATCACAGCTCACTGCAGCCTTGACCTCCTGGGCTCAAGTGATCCTCCCACCTCAGCTTCCAGAGTAGCTGGGACTACAGGGGCATGCCACCACACCTGGCTAATTTTTTTGTATTTTTTTGTGGAGATGGGGTTTCACCATTTTGCCTAGGCTGGTCTTGAACTCCTGGCCTCAACTGATCCACCCACCTTGGCCTCCCAAAGTGCTGGGATTACAGGCATGAGCCACTGCGCCTGGCCTCATCCTCTTCTTTATCAGTCCCTTTCTCCCCTTCCTGTCATTCTTCTATTTTTTTTTTAACCAAAATTATTTTGCTTTCCAATCTCATCAGTGATATGCAAATACATTTTCTTCTTAAAAGATTAAAACATTACATATGAGACTAAAGTCTCTTCCACTGTACCCACCACCCTACCTCCTGGTCCCCAGTCCTCTCTTTCCTAAGAGGAAACTAAGTTATCAAATTAGTGGGAAAAAATTCATCTCTCTCTCTCTCTCTCTCTCTCTCTCTCTCTCTCTCTCTCTCATAAAACAGCCCAAAACAAAGCCAATGATGATACTGCTTTCCCTTAAGATCAGGAACAAGGCAAGGGCACCTGCTTTTAGTCTTTCTATTTAACATGATATTGGCAGTCCTAGCCAGTGCAATAAGACAATAAAAAGAAATAAAAGAAGATATAGCCTGGAAAGGAAGAACTAAAACTGTCTCCATTAGCAGATGACATTACTATCTATATAGAAACTTCCAAAGAATCTACAACCCCCCACCCAGAACTAGAAAGTGAGTTTAGCAAGGTTGCACAATAAAAGGCCAATGTAAAAATGGCCAATATAAAAAAAAGTCAATGAACAGTTGGAAATGGAAGCATATATATTCCTCTAGAAAATGCAGAATACTGTTTGGTGTTTTTTAAAGAAATGGCCTCATACTGTATACATTATTCTCCAGGGGCTTTTACCTCCAGCAGCCCCCATAGGGCCCTCTTCCCCCTTTAGAACAGAGAGTTGCACTACATTCTTTTCCTCTGCTGCATAGGATTCTGGAAAAGGGAGGCACTGGGGTTTATGTAGACATTTCCCCAGGGAAGGACACTTTGGTTGTGTCTACCTTTTCACCATTACAGACGAGGCTGCAGTGAACACACACGTCTCCTTCTGGCTCCCTCTTTTAGGTTCCAGGGCACTCCAAACCTTGTCTGGGCATTCATCTGTCTCTTGGGGTCTCCAAGTGCTCTGTCACTCCCCTTCTTGGCCTCATTTGCCCTTTGTTTCTCCCTCATCTTTCCCAGTTCCCCTTGGACTTGGCCCTAGTTCTTGAGTATGTGTGTGGGGAGTGTGTGCGTTGTCTGTTCCCCATTCTGTTTATGTAACAGTAACAGGTCCCATCAGGAAAGTGATATCACAACCAAATTAGGATAATTTCAGGTGACTCCTCTCTGGGGCCTTTCTCAGGTTTTTGTTCTCACCCTCTGGGCTACCCCACCCATCCTCCCACCCACCGTGTACCCATTCAGAAAAACGCACTGAGCCTGTTCCAGGAACTGGTGTTCAAGCTTGGCCATGTGTGTGTCAGGGTGTCTGTGTGCATGCATGTGCCTGGGTCTCACCTGCCTGCCTGGCCATCTCCCTGAAGACCCCACCTCGCTCTACTTCCCATGCTCTAATTTTTTGAATGTACACATCATCTTGCTCATCCAGCTTCTGTCTTGGTCTCCTGGCTCAGTGTGTTTTTTTCCCACTCTCTCAAGAAGTGTTATTTAATTTTGCTCTGAGTTGGTGCATCCTTCCTGCTGTGTGTGTGTTTGTATGTGTGTGCACACACACATGCGTGCGCACAGCTTCCCCCTAGCTCCCTCTCTTTTTCTCAAGCTCATAAAGTTTCCCACTTTCTCCAGGTCTTGCTGTGTGTGCATGCACATGTGTACATATGTTGGTCTTCATTGGATTCCATCCTCTCTGTTTTTCTCAGTGATTCTTCATCCATCTGCTAGTCCATACATCCAACACACCATACTTGTTGAGCCAGGACCAGGGTCTGCCTGTGTGTCCTGTGTCTTTCTTTCCTTCCTGACTCCTCCTGCTTTACCTACCCTCACATCTTGGGGCCCCAGGTTCCTGTCCTGGATCATTCCCTCCCCAGCTTTTCACCAGCTCCCTGAGGTTCACAGAGTCATTCTTTGCATTGACACTCCAGCATCCCCTGCAGCCCAGACCCTACTTGTTCTCTCCTCATCCTGCCAGTGAATCGTGGCTCACACAGACTGGGCTCTTTCACTCAAGCCCAGCACATCCTGTCCCCATCCTCCAAATGCGTTTCTCACTCAGTTCTCATTGGCACTGAGCTTCACCACCACCTGGGGTTTCACAGCCAGGAGCACGAGTCATCTCTGATTCCACTCCCTCCTGCTGCCCACTACCCATCTGTCCTCTTTTCCTTTCAAGTCTCTCTCCAAGGGGTGGCTAAGCAGCCCCCTCCCCACTCCGATCACTTCAGCCCCTGACATAGCCCAGTTGTCAGGTTTATGATGCCAGGAGCATCCATCCATCTATCCCTCCATTATCCATTCATCCCCCATCATCCATCCATGTCCCCATCATCCATCCATCCCCATCCATCCATCCCCCATCATCCATCCCCCATTATCCATCCATCCTCTACCATCCATCCATCCCCCATTATCCATCCATCCCCATCATGCATTCACCCCCCCATCATCCATCCATGTTCCCATCATCCATCCATCCCCCATCATCCATCCATCCGTCATGCATCCACCCACCCATCATGCATCTCCCCTATTACCCATCCATCCCCCATCATCCATCCATCTGTCATCCATCCACCCCCCATCATGCATCTCCCCCATTACCCATCCATCCCCCATCATCCATCCTCCCATTATTCATCCCCCCATCTTCTGTCCACCCATCATCCATTCCCCCATTACCTATCCCCTCATCGTCCATCCTTTCATCCATCCATTAACAGACTTGCACTGAGCACCCACTGGGTATTCGCTGGGGTCACAGGCCACAAAGCCTTAGGCCATGGCCTGTGGGAGCTCAGAGTCCAGGGAGAATACAGAGCAGTTATGCCTGCACTAAAAGATGGCTGATGGAGGCTTCCTAAGACTTTATGTCACGCTGCAAATCACAGTGTGTGTGCATGTGCACATGTGTGCGTGTGTGCATATGTGTATACATATGAGTGTGCACCTGCGTGTGCATGTGTGTGTGCGCATGTGTGTATGTGTGTGGGTGCATGTGTGCATGGGTGGGGTCACTCCTGGCTACTTCTCCAGCCCCTTTGCCTCCTCCTTGCTCTAGCGCAGATGCCTCTGCAGCTGCGCCTCCCTCTTCTGCTTCTCTCCCTCCCTGAGATCTCCCTGCTTGTCCACTCCTGGGAATTCAAAGGCCCTGCAACAAACTGCCTCACCTCAGTGTCCCCCCATCACGGCTCTTCAGCTCAAGCCCCAGACATCACATGTTCACTATTCTCTCCCCTGCTCTGTTCACTGGTTCCACCAGCTTCACAGACTCCCTGAGCCAGGATCAAACTCTCCATCCTCCTACCCCCACCCCCACTCCCAGACCCAGCTGTCTGGCCACCCCTCCCCTCTCCCTGCCCTACCTCTAATGTGCCCCAGGTCTTCACAATCTTTTCCGCAAAATCTCACTCCCACCCCCACCTGACGCTCTCTCTTCCCCATGGCCCTCTCAGCAGGTAGATGAGGTGGTGGAGGTGGGGGTGAGACTGTGCGCCCTCATAGGCTCCCTCCTGTTTGGCCACAGATGAGCTGGGGAGGGAGTATTAGGCCTGGAGGTTTCTCTGCCTTCCCCTCTGCAACTGAGGACCCCTGCCCTAAGCCCCTCATAGTGCCCCGCAAGTCTGCCTACCTGCTCCTTGACAAACCTGCAGCCTATCCATTCTTCGCTCCCCTGCCCCATGGAGGCCAGTGCTGGCTTCTGGACAGCAGCCTCTCCCTGGGCCCCAGACACGGAGGCCAGACTTTCCCGCACCTCTCAGTTGGGCCTCCTCCATTCCTTTGAAGGGTTTCTCCTGCCAGCTGCGTGGGACTCCGGTGCTCCAGGGCCCTGCCCTGCCTGCTCCCCAGCACTTTCCTGCCCTTCCAAGGCTGACCCCTGGCCAGGCTCCACTCTGGCCCTCTCTGCAGAGCCCAGATGTCATCAGCCTGACGGGGAGGCTCCATGTGGAGTGGCCACCAGGTTCCATCCCCTTCTCCCACGCCCCACCATTGTAGAGAAGAAGGCCTGGGCCCTTGTCCTCCCCAGAGGGCCCTTGTCCTCCCCAGAGAAGCTCCCGCTGAGCCTTCCCTTGGGCCCTCCTGGATGCAGGGAGCACTCCCCTGGGAGCACTCAGCACCAGGCTTGTGGTCGTCCTTGTCCCCGCCAGGCCACGGGCTCTGTGGGGCCTGGGTGTGACCTCTCTCAGGGTCTTGGCACTGAGGGAAGTGTGGAGATGAGGACAGACGGGGCATCTGCGAGCTCTGCTCTTCTACCCTCTTACTCTTTCTCCCCTTGTTGCTTCCCATCTCCTTTTGGAAAATCATTTTTTAACTCCACACATGCTATAAAGACCCACTGTATTTGTAAAAAACTGAAGCCTTCCATGTAGGACTGAGGTGCCCTTTGACCCCTGCTCCTCTCTTCATTCAGGCCCCAACAGGAAACAGATGTCTCCCTCCAATCTAGGAAGCCTCAGGAGGGTCTGTTTACAAAGGTGCTGAGGGAGGGGGTGCAGGAGCCAGGAGAGCAGCAAACTTGTGATTTCCAGTGAATCCAAAGGAACCAGGGAGGAGAAGTTTCCAGAAGGCAGCTGAGAGGGCAGCTGAGAGCAGAGGGCACAGCAGCCTGAGCTCTGGGGGAGCAGACATGCTGATCTCCCTCCCTCTTCCCTCCACTCTCCTGCTGGGGGTCCCCAGTGGCCAGGTCCAGCGCGAAGCTGTAGGCCCAAGGCTCATCCACGGGGCTCAGCCTCCCCAGCCCAGAGCAGGGAGGAGGAGCGGGGCCGGTGGGGCGGGAAGGGCAGGTGTGGGAGTCATTGGGCATCTGCGTCGCCCTGGGGGCTTTCCCCCCTGAGGCCTTTCTCAGGCTTGGTTGCCCTCTCTGTGCTGCGGCGTTCACCACCCACCTAACAAAAGCATGTGAGCGCCTCCTGGGAGCCGGCGGGTGGGCTGCGCGCCTGCTCCTCCGCCTGTCTGCCTCCCCAGGCTTCTGCTCCCCTTCCTTGACTTTTCAAACTTTTCTCTGATGCACCACCCCCTCTCTCGGTGCCTCTGTCTCCTGCTCCCTCAGCCTCGCTCCTCCAACTCTCCAGGGGAGCTTGTTGAATTGGGCTGTTTGTGCATCATTCCTGCAGTGTGCGCATGAGTGTATACACAAGGTCAAGGTTGGTTCCCACCTTTCCCGTCCTGCTTCATCTGTCTGTGTCTGCCCACCCATCTATCCAGTAGTCATTCAACAAACGTGAATTGAACATCTGTGTGTGCGCTGCTGAGGGTGAAGAGCCCGGAGTCCCACCCAGGCTGTGTCCTGAAGAAACTTGGAGTCCAGGGCAGACACACCGGTTGTTATATCACAAGAAGACTGGGTTGGGTCACCGAGCATCACACTCAGGGTGTGTGTGTAATGTGTGTGTGCATGTGGGTGTGTGTTGTGTGTATTGTGTTATGTGTGTTGTGTGTGTGTGTTGTGCGTGTACATGTGCATGTGTGTGTTATATGTGTGTTGTGTTGTGTGTTGTGTGTATGTGTGCGTGTGGTGTCTTTCTGCATTGCCCACTTCTCCACACCCGTTCCTCCCTCACCCCTCCAGCGTCAGCCAGCCCTGGGCTGTGTTCTCTTCCATCTGCGCCCCTCCACGCATACCCCCTCCCCGGGCCAGGCCGCCCACCTGTGGGGCTTCTGAGATTCCCTCTGCTTGCCTCTGTGTCCACCCGGGCCCCCCTACGTACACCCCAGGCCTACGCATCTAAACATCTTCTTACCCGCCCCCACCTCCTGGACGTCCCACCGGCATCACAAACTCTCTAAGCCCAGGGAGAAATCCTTGACTTCCCAATCCTTCCCCTGTGCTCCCCTTCACCATCCCTGGGCACTCGAGTCCAGGCGCCCTTCCCCTCTACTGCCCCCACCTTTCAGGTTTGCCTCCTCTAAGCCACACTCCCACCCCGTCTTCCCTTCACTCCTCTCCATTACCCCATTCGTGTGGTTGCCCTGGCAACGCCATGTTCCCCTCTCCTGGGTTTTTCAGAGGCAAACTTGTTCACTTCCCTCCGCTGACTTTTCGTTCCCATCTCCCTCTCATCTGCTCTCTCCTCCGTCCACAGAGGAGTTTGAGATGGAACTTCAGGCTCTTTCCCCTCTTCCCTCCCGGGCCCTCTGTGACCACCACCTGCCCCGACCTTGAGCCCACCACGGGGTTCACCTGGGGCCTCCACTGACCTGTTTGCCAAATGGAATAGGATCTTTTATCTCCTCCTCTCCCCTCGTTCATGAGGGGTCCTGGTCAAGGTGCCAGGACCAGGATCCCTCTCCTCCCTAAGCTCCTGGGACAGTGAGGGTCTGTCCTGCCACCTCTGCTGTTTGCTTTGGTGGAATCCTCTTGCTCTGTGATCTGCTGCGTCGTAGCGCTCCCCAGGCCAGGCCCTGCCTTCCCCAACCTGCTGCACAAACTCTTCTGTGGGTCGGTTCCATCCCTCTCAGGCCATAGGGTCCATTCACACCTTGACTGTGTCTGTGGCCAACTCTTCCTGCTGAGCTGGGACCCCCACATCCATTGCCCTGAGGGGCTGTTCCCCTGGCCACGGCCTCGACAGGGCTCCTTCCTGTGTCCTCCCCACAGAGAGCCCTGCTGAACCTTCCCCTGGAGAAGCTCCCCTGCCCCCCAAGGGCACTGGGACCCTCAGGAACGGCTAGGTTTGGACATCTTTCTTTGAGCTTCTTAAGAAGAGTCTGCATGTCTGGTGCTCAGCATGGAGGAGAGGCTGGCTGGAGGGGAGGACAGACAGACAGATGGATGAAAGTTGTGTCTTTCTAGAGGATCTCTTCTCTTCCTTTAACTCTCTTGTTCTCTTTCTCTTTCAAAAAATTAATGCTTATTGTGAAACCTCGTCTCTACAAAAAAAATCAGAAAATTTGCTGGGTGTGGTGGTATATGTGCCTATAGTCCCAGCTACCAGGGAGGCTGAGGCAGGAGGATCACCAGAGCCCAGGAGTTTGACGAGGCTGCAGTGAGCTGTGATCTCACCACTGCACTCCAGCCTGGGTGACAGAGCAAGAGCCTGTCTTGAAAAAAATATGAATATTTAATTACTTAAGTGACACATGACCACATCATCTTTGCATAAATAGTAAAGTATTACAAATAAGATTAAAGGTCTCCTTTGACACTCACTCATCCCATCCTGTTCTCTAGCCATTTCCTCTGGGGAAAACCAGTTCTTACTTTAGCAGGAATCATTCTATACTACATACATATTTTTAAACATAAAAATGTATATTTTTCCCCTATAGAATCTGATTTTTTTGGTAGGTTTTGGCTTAGGGCATTTTTTCCTCATAGAAATTGCATTGAGCTATGAATATTGCTCTTCAGTGGGACTTTGACTTGACATATTTTGGGGATCTCCTTCCATCTCAATATATAAAGCTGTCCATCTGCCTTTTTGTCAGCTGCATAGTATTCCAGCAGGCAGAGCTGTCATGGTTTATTGGCCATTCTTCTGGTGATGGGCATTTAGATGGTTTCTACTCTTTTGTAATTAAAATGAGGTTGCCGCGAACACCTGTGTCCCTGCTTCCCCTTCCCATTAGTGCGTTCTCCCTTCCGCCTCCTGGGGCCCTGGGTTACTCTTTCTGTCTCCTTTTCTTTCTTGTTCCCTCTCAGCTTCTCATCCCTCCCTGTTCTTTCTAGATGTTGCTGTCACTTTATGTGTCCCAGCATGGGGTGTGTGTGTTTGTGTTGTCTATTTTTTTCACTGTGGGTTTGTGTTAGTCAGGGTCCTAACAGGAAAGGGATGGAACACTTAAATTTAGGAAAATCTGAGGCGAGTTTGTTTACAAAGGTGCTGTATTGCAGGATGTGGGATTTTGCAGAAACCTAGAGCTAATAGTTGTGAGGCTGTGACCACCCCCTACTCCCTAAGGGGTGAAGGGTGGAAGTAATGAGTGACCAGGCCCTGGAGGCAAACTGTCACCTAGAGGGGCTGCCTTGCTGGGAGCTGAGACCTCTAGGAGAGGGACCACCCAGACTGAGGTGACCCGGGGGGATAAGCATCCTTATCTCATTCTCCTCCCCCATCATCTCCTGCTGGCCATCTCACTGGCCAAGCCCAGCTGGAAGCCAGAGGGAAGAGCACCTCCCTGAAGGGTGTCATCAGCCTCCTAGAGCAAAGGAGAAGGGTGAAAGGGACAGGGGAAGTAGAGGGCATCTAGAACTTTCTCTCTCCAAGCCCTTTATCAGGTTTTGTTTCCAGTCTCTGGGTTACTTCATCCACCCATCATTCCCATCCACACATCCATCCAGCCAATGTGCATGGATCCCCTCCCAGGTGCCATGTGCGGAGTGGCATACCTTTTGGAGGGTTTGGCTCCCCTGTGAGCCCATGCTGGGCCTCTGCCTGCCACCCCCACTGCCTGCTGGCATGGCTCACGCCCCCTCTTGTTTTCAACTTTCTTATTGACGTCTACTCCCCCTTCTCTTCCTGTATCTGACTTTGTCTTGCTCATCTCTGCTCTTTCCCTCTCTCTAGAGGAGAGTTATTGAATTTTGCTCTGAGGCTGTGCGTCATTCTTGCAGTGTATCTCTGTGTGTGTGTGTGTGTGTGTGTGTGTGTGTGTGTGTGTGTGTGTGTGTGCTTTGTGCATGTGCTGGCTGACTTTCCCCTGCAGCTCTCTCTTTTCTGGGGCTTGTGGAGTTTTGCTCTAAAGTTCTAAATTTCTTATTGATTTTCCTGATCCTAGTTTCCACCCCCTTTCCCAGAGGAAATTTTGGTTATCACAATGATGACCAGCAAAGTGGTCACATAGGAGTCTTTTTCTTCCTGGCTCTTTTATCTGATTTTATTCTTACTCCCTGAATTACTCCATCCATCCACCCATCCTTCCACTCCATCTATTCATCCATTCATTTATCCATTATCTATCATCCATCCAACCATCCATCCATCCATTCATCATCCATCCATCCATCTCTCCATCTGTTCTCCCATCCATTCATTCATCCATCCATCCATCTCTCCATCCATTCATTCATTATCCATCCATCCATCCATCCATCCATCCATCCATCCATCCATCCATCCACAAACACAGCAGCTACTGAGTGCCAGGACCCATGTCCTTTTTCCTCTCCAGTCACCGTTGTGAACACACATGTGGGTCTCATCTCTTGCTCTGAGGTGTGACTAGAGTTGCCCCCCACCCTCTCTGTCACTCTCCTTGCTGTTTGTCTCCTGCTCTTTTATTTGTCTATAAACTGCTTAGTTAGTTCAGTGCCAAGGGTGGTCTGTCTGTCCTGTCTCTCCTCCTCTACTTCCCTAACTCCCCCTCCGTCTGTTCTCACACCATGGGGCCCCAAGGCCTATCTGGAGTCTTCTGCTTTCTCTGCACACATTCCCTGGATGTGCTCACCCACAGCTTTCTGTGC
Source organism: Homo sapiens (assembly GCF_000001405.40). NCBI lineage: Eukaryota > Metazoa > Chordata > Mammalia > Primates > Hominidae > Homo > Homo sapiens. The sequence continues at coordinate 352,684 of NW_025791812.1, forward strand.
TGACACCACCCCCTTGGCCCCTCATGCAGCCCAGACCCTTTCCCTTCCCCTTAAGACACAGGCTCAAGCTTGACGAAGCCCTGCCCAGCTCAAGCCATCGCATTGTTTTTGTACCCACCAGAGGTGCTCTATCTCCATTCTCCTTGGCACTGAGCATCTCTGCCACCCAGGGCTCAGCAGCCAGGAGCACCAAGTCACCTCTGGCTGCTCTTATCCCTGTCTTCATGGTCCATCTGTCCCCTCTTCCTGCCACATCTCCCTCGAAAGGGCAGGTAGATAATCCCTCTCCATCCCCTCAGCCCCTGCCTCAGCCCTGATGTAAGAATCTAGTGCCTGAACCACATCCATCCATCCATCCCTCCAACATCCATCCCTCCACCACCAAACATCAGTTGGACACTTCCTAGGTGCTCTGATTATGACACAGACGCCCAAACCCCAGGCTATGCCCTGCAGAAGCCCAGAGTTCAGGGAGAAATTCTCTTGAGATCTTGGCCTTCTGTTAATGTCTCCTTCCTGCCCTGCCCCCCACCAACTCCTGTGCACAGAAGTGCTGGGGAGGGAATCCTAAGCTCTGCTGTTTTCTCCACAGCCCCACTTCTCTATGGCTACCTGTGGCTGGCTCTGAACCCACCACCAGGCTCAGGCAAGGTCCAGAGCCCCAGGCCTGAACTTCCTGCCGCTTCTTCCTGTTCTGCCTTTTCTGCTGGGGCAGTTTTCTCTGGGAAACAGGGTGGCTTACTATCCATGCCTTTTTGCACACAGTAAAGTCCAGACGTAAGCTCCCATCTGCCTGGGGTGGAGACGGAGTCTCCCTATGAACACCCTACAGGTATGTCCTCCTACTCCACCTCTGGCCTCCTTCTTCTTCCTTCCCCCTCCACGTATTAAGAATAAGGCATCATTGAAAAAAACAAAGGAGGCTGAGAATAAGTGGAGAATCAAAGTCTGTGCAGTTGAAGAGCTGAGGCTTTGCAAGTTCAACAACAAAGAGAGAGGGACTGTGGAATCCAAACTAGATAAGAGTGAGGAAACTGGGTGGGAGGACAGTGTACAACTGGCAGGTGCAATGAGGACAATGAGGCCCTGGGTCGTCCCCACAGAGGCCTTTGCTGGCTGACTCCTGTCTTCCAGGAGCCCCCGGGCATGGGTATGAGGGCATCTTTCTCTTCGCTCAGACATGGAGCTTCCTGGGAAGAGGACCTGCACCTGGCTTCCTTTTGGGTCTCAGGTTGGAGAGGAGGATGGACAAATGGAAGGTGTGTCTTTCTACTAGTCTCTTTTGCTCCTCCTTTGCCGCCTCTCCTCTCACCCTTTATAACATTCATTTTCTTTTGAGACAGGGTCTTGCTCTGTTGCCCAGGCTGGAGCGCAGTGGCACAATCATAGCTCACTGCAGCCTCTAACTCCTGGGCTCAAGCGATCCTCCCACTTCAGCCTCCTGAGTAACTGGGACTACAGGTATGTGTCACTATGCCCAGCTAATTTTTTTGAAGCAAAATTTGTATCATTTTAATTATTTTTATGTACAGAAAACTCAACAGTGTACATTTAACCCAGTTTAGTGGCAAGTTCTTTAGCGTTTACCTTTTTGAGCTTGGCGATGCGAGCCACAGACTCGGGACCCAGGACATTGCCTCCCCAGTGATGGTGGATCTCATTGTATCTCTCATTGTAATTGGTCCTTATACCTTCCACCAGCTTAGCCAAAGCACTTTTGTCTTCCCAGTTAACCTGTGTGAAGGCGACAGTGGCACAGGTCTTCCTGTGGACTAGACGCCCCAGTCTTGCCTTCCCCTTGATAATGCAGTAAGGGACTCCCATTTTATGACACAGGGCAGGCAAGAAGACAACCAGCTTGATGGAATCCACATCGTGTGCAGTCACCACCAGCTGAGCTTTCTTATTCTCCACCAAGGTGGTGACTGGGTGTTAACTCCTGCTTGAAGGACAGGTAGTCTCTTAGTGGAGATGTCCCCTTTGCCAGCAGTTTTCTCCTCGGCCTGGGCCAAGAGCCTCTGCTTCTTCTCTTGCTTTGTCTCTGGTCTGTACTTGTGGGCCAGCTCAAGCAGCTGAGTAGCAGTTTGGCGGTCCAGGGCCTGGGTGAACTGGTTAATTGCAGGAGGCACTTTCAGCCGTTTATAGAGGAAGGCTCTCTGATGCTGCAACTTGATATAGCGGGGCCATTTCACAAAACGGGTGAGGTCTCTTTTGGGCTGGATGTCCTGTCCAACACCAAAATTCTTAGGCCTTTTCTCAAACAGGGGATTCACCACTTTCTTGGCCTCCTGCTTCTTCACGACAGCAGGGGCTGGAGCCACCTTCATCCCCCGGCCTTCTTTCCTTTCGGCATCTTGGGCGGCGGGAGGAGAGAGTACACCCAGCTGATTTTTAAAATTTTTTTTGTAGAGACGAGGTCATGCTATGTTGTCCAGGCTGGTCTTGAACTCCTGGCCCTCAAGTGATCCTCCTGTCTCAGCCTCCCAAAGTGCTGGGACCACAGGGGCATGAGCCACAGCACCTGGCTGTAAAATTAATTTTTAATTACACAAGTCATTCACGGACCCACTGTCTTTGTAAAAAACAAAAATCAAAGTGTTGTACATAAGACTGGTGTTCTTGTCCACTTCCCATCCCATCTAGCCCAGGGTACAAATACTGCTCCCCCGAAGTAATCTCAGTATTGATTTGGGAGAATCATTCCACTCTCTGTATATGATATTTTCTCACGAAAAAAGGCAAGTCCTGTGGGTGGTGCTGGCTTTGGTTTTGATGTCAAATGAGAATCATATTGAACCAGGCACACCTGCTCTGTGGTGGGCTTTTCTGCACAACAGCGGATCACAGATGGCTTCCAGGACTCAGAATCTCTGCTGCATGGTAGTGCGGAGGCCAGGTGAATGGTGGTTGATGCCACTCTGTGGATGGGCATGTAGCTGCTTCCCCATGATCACTATTACAGACGAGCTAGCTGCAAACACCCCGGCCCAGCCTGCCCCCATCCCTCTGCATGCACAGTGCTCGCTGAGCTCCAGGCTATGATCTGTT